>NT_187506.1:0-150742 GCF_000001405.40 Homo sapiens
GAATTCCTAGTTTCTGAGTCTTATTTTTCCCCTGATTCAAGAAAACTGTGAATTATCCAGCCAGTAAAAAACTCTCACAGCTCTGGATGTGAGTTTAGGACACTGGATTTCTACCACTCATTTTCTTACTACTTTTCTTGTGCAAGGATCATGGCACAAGTTGCAGTTTCCACCCTGCCCATTGAAGATGAGGAGTCTGTTGAAGATGAGGAGTCCTTGGAGAGCAGGATGGTGGTGACATTCCTGTCAGCTCTCGACTCCATGGTCAGACCTTCTGTTCTCACATTCTGTATTTCAGTAGGACTGGGCGGTAGATAAGGTTGATTTGTTTTTGTAGAACTTACAATTTTGTGATTTTTAGTTCTAATGAGAAGACCTTTTTCGTGAATAGTAGTTACGGTCAAACACCTCTGACCAAATGTGCATGTGGAGTTTCTACACTGATTTTCAGACAATCTGGATCCCAACTGGGTATCCCACAATTCTATCCTGACACTCCCTGGAGTTAGTGCAGACCCCGCAGGAGGGGCGCTCAGTCCCAGGAGTCTACTCTCACTCCACATGCCAATTGCAAGTCTTGGGTTGTTACATGTAGTTTTGACCAACCAGTTAGAAAACAAGGTTTAATGACCCTCATTGGTGGGTGGAATCATTTGCTCGGACAGCTTGCAGAACTCAGAAAAACAGATTGTTTTCTTTTTTTTCTGAGATACAGGGTCTCAGTCTGTTGCCAGGCTGGAATGCAGTGGTGTGATCAAAGCTCACTGTAGCATGGGACTCCTGGGCTCAAGTGATCCTCCCACCTCAGCCTCCCAAATAGCTGAGATTATAGGCCTGTACCAGCATATCTGGCTATGTTCTTTTACTTTTTGTAGAGATGGGGTCTTGTTATGTTGCCCAGGCTGGTCTCAAATTTCTGGGCTCACGTGATCCTCCCACCTCAACTTCACAAAATGCTGGGATTATGGGCATGAACCACTGCATCTCACCAATTTACTTTCTTTTACTGGTTCATTTTAAAGGCTAAATCTCAGGATGTTGTCAGACTCCTGGCCTCAAGTGATCATTCTGCCTCAGCTTCCCAAAGTGCTTGGATTATATGTAGGTGGGAGCCACCTGTGTTCAATGCCCATTTTCTTTTTCTTTCTTTCTTTTGGAGACGGACTCTTACTCTGTCATGCAGGCTGGAATGCAGTGGTGTGATCTCAGCTGACTGCAACCTCCACCTCCCTGGTTCAAGCAACTCCCCTGCCTCAGCCTCCAGACTAGCTGGAATTACAGGCCCATGTCACCACTCTCAGCTAATATTTTTGTATTTTTAGTAGAGACAGAGTTTCAGTATGTTGGCCAGACTGGTCTCGAACTCCTGAAATCAGGCAATCCACCCACCTTGGCCTCCCAGTGTGCTGAGATCAGAGGCGTGAGTCACCACGCCATGCCCAGCCATTTTTAAAATAATAACGTTATTGAAATATGGTTAACGTATCATGCAATTCATTTATCAAAGTACGCAATTCAGGCCAGGTGCAGTGGCTAATTCCTATAACGCTAAGACTTTGGGCAGCTGAGGCAGGTGGATCGCTTGTGTTCAGGAGTTTGCGACTAGCCTGGGCAACATGGCAAAACAGCATCTCTAGCAAAAATACAAAAATTAGCTGGATGTGGTGGCTCATGCCTGTAGTCCCAACTACTTGGGGACATGAGACTGGAAGATCACTTGAGCCCAGAAGCCATAGGTTGCAGTGAGACCAGATGGCACCACTGCACTACAGCATGGGTGACAAAAGGAGACCCTGTCTTTAAATAACTAAAGAAAAAAAGAAAGTATACAATTGAGTGGTTTTTAGAATATTCAAGGAGCTGTGCAGTATACATACAGATGGATAATTGTATAAATAAGTACAGATGTGTATAAATGTGTGAGTATACATACATATATTTTCTAGCTCCTCTAACAAAAGGGCCTAGAAACAACATCATCCCAGTAACAATGAGAACACCATTCTCCAATTAAAGGAACCAAGGCTCCTTGGGGACATATTTGATATCAGGATTGGCCAGGGAAAATACAACATTAGTTTGAAATATTTTGTCATGTTAGGAAGTAAGGAAATGCTCACAAAATGGGGAAAATGTGAAAGGGAAACAGATCCATTTTGAATAAACTTCCATAGCCAAATTTGAGAAAATTGGGGCAATAAAATAGATAACAATAGTAATATATTACAATCTACAGAAGAAAATTTTCAATTAATCCAGGCCAGGTGCGGTTGCTGATGCCTGTATTCCCAGAACTTTGGAAGGCAGAGGCGGGCAGGTCACTTGAGGTCAGGAGTTCGAGACCAGCCTGACCAATGTGGTGAATCCCTGCCTCTACTAAAAATACAAAAATTAGCCGGGCATGGTGGCCCATGCCTGTAGTCCCAGCTACTCTGGAGGCTGAGGCAGGAGAATGGCTTGAATCCCGGAAGGTGGAAGTGCAGTGAGCGGAAATCGCACCATTGCACAACAGCCTGGATGACAAAACAAGACTCCAACTAAAAAAAAATCCATATTGACATAAATAATAAACCAAAGATTGAGAATGGGTAGTATTTATTACAGTAAAATTTCATTAAATGTAGGAGACATAAAATATAAGAATCATCACTTTGCAAATATCACAGTAATAATTGTTGCAAGAAAGAACCTTGGAGGGATGCTAAGATTAGTGGTGAATATATGTTGGGAAAGAACATATTTGCATAATATGAAAGTATCTTCCCACAACATAATTATAGAATAGTAACTTCAAAGTGGAGATGTCAACTTAGCCAAGTGATCAAAGTTAACGTTACTAATAATAAGATAAATGAACTTCATGTAACTTCTTATATGATGCACTGAGTAGGACAAAACATCAATTCTATGGTATTCTTAGACAAAATGTATAACTTTAGTCCTAACCGTGAGAAAACATCAGACTAACTGAAATTGAGGAGGGACATTCTACAAAATAACTGCCAGTATTCATCAAAAGCATTTTAGAAAGACTGAGGAATTCTCCAGAGACATGGAGGCATGTTATCTAAGTGCAATGGAGAACATGCATTGTATCATGAACCAGAGATGGACAACAGTAGGATATGTACAATAACACCCCAACATTTGAACATTAAACAAAATACTTCAGAAAAACCCATTGGCCAAGAAAAGTTTCACACACAAAAAAAAAAATAGTTTAAACTGAAAGAAAATTTTTTAAAAACTTAATAAAATGTGGGATGCAGATAAATCTTTTCTTAAAGGTACATTTATAGATGTAATATACTGAAAATAAAAGGCTTCAATCAATGACCTTTAGGTTCTTTTTTAAGAGGCTAAAAAATGAGCAAAGTATATCCAAATTAAGAAGAAGGAAGATGATAAAGATAAAAATGTAAACCAACAACATAGCAAATAACAAAAGGTGGAGCTAATTAATATACCCACAAATTGGTTCTTTGAAAAAAATTTTTTTAATAAACAATGGCTAGCAAGATTTATCTCGAAAAAATTTAGAGAAGCTACATAATGTAGATAATGGGAATTAAATAGAAGATGTAACTACAGAACCTACAGACATCAATATAATTATGAAAACTTTAGGCCAATACATTTGACAATTAAAATAACATGGGAAATTATTTGTAAAACTAATTCTTAAAACTGATGCAAAATGAAATAGAAAAAGTAATAGCTTCTCTATGTATTGAAGAATTTTTTTTAATTTAAAAAGATTTCTATACTTACAGGCTACATGCTTTCTTAGGTGAATTCTATCAAACATTTAAGAAAGTACAGAGAGTCCTCAACTTACAGTGGTTTGACTTGTGCTCTTCTGACTTGATAATGGTGCTTTCATCTGTGTACATTAATGATGAGCATCAATATGACCAGTTTTTCACTATCAGTGTAGTTTTCAATAAATTTCATGAGATACTGAATATTTTAAAATGGGTCTTGTGGTAGATGATTTTGCCCAATTGTAGGATAATGTAAGTGTTCTGAGCAAGTTTAAGGTAGGCGAGGCTAAGTCATGATATTCAGTAGGTTAAATATATTAAATGCGTTTTAGACTTACAATATTTTCAATTTAGGATGAGTTCATTAAGACATAAGACAATTGTAAGTTAAGGAATATCTATAATATCAATCTTGAACGGACTCTTTTTAAGAAATAGAATTTAAGGGCCAGGCACAGTGGCTCACACATGTAATCCCAGCACTTTGGGAGGCCAAGACTGGCAGATCACCTGGGGTCAGGAGTTTGAGACCAACCTGACCAGCAAGGAGAAACCCCCGTCTCTACTAAAAGTACATAATTAGCAGGGTGTGGTGGCGCTTACCTGTAATCCCAGCTCCTTGGGAGACAGAGGCAGGAGAATAGCTTGAATCTGGGAGGCAGAGATTGTGGAGAGCCTAAATTGTGCCATTGCACTCCAGCCTGGGCAACAAGAGTGAATCTCCGTCTCAAAAAAAAAAAAAAAAAAAAAAGAAAATTTAAAGGGACATTTCCTATCTTATTTTATGAACCCAGTATTGCCGATTCCAAATCGAGACAAAGGCATTATACAACTTTGATGTTTATCCCTCATAAACATAGACTCAAAAGTCCTTAAAACATAATAACCAATTGAATGTAGCAGTACATAGAATGGATAATAAACTGTGAACAAATTAATTTTCTAGCAAGATTGCAAAGTTAATTTATTATTTGAAAGATCAGTTTAATCAATTTTATTCACCTGGATGGTTACATCTGGCAAAACTCAGCAAACTGTGCACTTTAAAATAGTATTTATTTTATGTAAATTATGTTTCAATACAATGGATTTAAAAAAAAAAAACTTTTCCCAGAGTGATCAAAGTTGAGGGCAGGGAACAGTAAACATCAGTGCTTATGTTATAGCTACTAGAAGCCTCCCAATTCCAACGACATGCTTTCAAGCAGGTCTGATCCTTCCCCTGGAGGATACCTCTGACCCAGGTGTGCTACAAATGCATTGCCCCTAGTTGCTTCTGTCACCTTAGTGATGGAAGTGACAACAGGTTACTGGAGAAAGAAAAGGTGTACAGGGTTCCAAATATACATTCTATTTCCAAAGGACATTTGTGAAGCCAGTGGAAAGCGAACAAACAAGCTGCTAAATAAGTCACAAGTGTGTTCTCATACAGTTTTGCGATTAACTAAATAGGACATTCAACAGATAAAATTTGTTTTACATAGTTACTCCTCTAATAGGATGAACTTGTGGATTGTGAGATAGAGCTGATATAACCTGTTTTCTCTCTGCCTCTTTTTTTTCCCCCAAGTTTTGTGTGCAATACATTAGGAAAAATATAATTGGGCTACAAAGCTACAAAAATGGCTTCCTGGCAGTTCCATGCTTGTTTCCATGTGGTGCCTATATTTGGCACTGTGTTCTCATTTGCACTTTCCTGCTTGATTAGTTAATGTATGAAGGACAAGCCTGATCTCTACTGTGAATTTTTACCAAGGTATTCTAGTAGAAAAATGAGTATGTAATGGTGCTGTGGCATGCTAAAGTGTGTAAAACATTAAGAATCTAAAAATATGCTGATTTCCAAGTTTTGTCCCAGAGCAACTGTGCACTCTGATTATATCGCTACTGCTATTTAAAGTTATCCATTTGCATGTCTAAAAAATAGATTCATACTGATTGTCCCATTTTGATCTCAAAAAACTCCGGAATATGAGAGTCGTGATCAAGGGACGCTTCATGAAATGTTCCAAAGTTAAAGTGTGCAATGAAACCAGATTTATCATAGCCTTATTTAAAATAATTATTTCTAAAATTGTTATTGTTTAATTATAAACGGTATCCTTTCAGGATACTTGGAAGATCCATAGCAGTGCTTTTATTTTCACAGAACAAGCATAAATTATTTATGAAATAATAACTCAGATACAGAGATTACTTCCTATTGGCCTTACATATGAATATAAATAAATACATATTATGAACATGAGCATACTTATTTTATAATTATGTAAATGTGTGTGTAATGTTATATATAAGTTCAATAAAGTCATGCTTATACATGGTTTCAATTCATGCTTCTAAAAACCACTCAATGTAGTCATTATCATATGTTAATAAATAATCTCTGAAAATGTGCTTCTAGTAGTTTCACAATATCCCATCATAAAGATTGTCATGCTGTTTTTAAGTCATACTTTTGGGTATATAAGTTATATCTGATATTTTTCTGCTACATATATACTATTATAAATCTATTAGTAGCTGATTTTTTGTCAACACATATGATTGTTTCCTCATAGTACAAGAGTTGGTTGTAACTTTATTTCCTTCCAACATTTATTTTAGGTTCAGCGGGTACATGTGCAGGTTTATTATATGGGTAAAATGTGTGTCAATGGGATTTGGTGTACAGATTAGGTAGTCATCCAGGTAGTGAACGTAATATCTAATAGGGAGTTTTTTGATCCTCACTCTCCACCAACCCTCCACCCACAGTAGACCTTGTGTCTATTGTTCCCTTCTCTGTGTCCATGTGGACTCAATGTTTAGCCCCCACTTATAAGTGAGAACATGCAGTGTTTGTTTGGTTTTCTGTTCCTTCATTAATTCACTTAGAATAATGGTCTCCAGCTCCATTCATGTTGCTGCAAAAGACATTATTTCATCCTATTTTATAGGTGTGTAGTATTCCATGGTGTATGTACGCTGCATTTTTTTAATCCAGTCTTCTGTTAACAGGCATCTAAGTTGATTCCGTGTCTTTGCTATTGTGAATAGTGTTATAATGAAAATATGCGTGCATATGTCTATGACAGAATGATTTATATTCCTTTGGGTATATACCCAATAATGGGATTGCTGGGTTGAATGGTAGTTCTGTTTTAAGTTATTTCAGAAATCTCCAAACTGCTTTCCACAATGGCTGAACAAATTTACATTCCTGATGAAACTGGAGACTTCCCTGACTCCCCTTGGCAGGATGTGCAACAGGGGTGTGGCTTGTCTGGCCACCGTGTGTGCTGTCAAACCCCTTACTGGGCAGGGGAGCATGCAGACAGGCAGGTGCAATAGGCAGGGCAAGTGGCCATGGTACTGTCTAGGGGTGGGTTCCTGCGACTCCCACAGCCCAAGTGGGCATGTGTTACAGTGCACTCTTTTAGCTTTGCCATCCACAGACGGCTTAAGTGTTAACCTGTTCAGTGCCCTCTTGGTACCCAGTTCCTTGTCCAGCATCCAGAAAGAATTAAGTTGCACACAGACTTGAGGATGGTGAATGTGGGGGTTTTATTGAGTGGTGGAGGTGGCACTCAATGGGATGGATGGGGAGCTGGAAAGGGGATGGAATGGGAAGATGATCTTCCCCCGGAGCTTTGCCATCCAGAGGCTGATCTCTCCAACCACTGCCAGCCAAACTCCTCTAGGCATTCAGATGCTCCTTCTCTTCTTTCTGCCACATCATTCTGCAATTCTGCTCTTCTGTTCATCTCCTCATCTGCTTGCCATCCAGAGGCTGATCTCTACAACCACTGCCAGCCAAACTCCTCTTGGCATTCAGATGCTCCTTCTCTTCTTTCTGCCACATCATTCTGCAATTCTGCTCTTCTGTTCATCTCCTCATCTGCTTGTCTGCTTCTGGAGCCTGGGGTCTGGGGCATATATGGGTACAGGACAGGGGGTGCATGGTGAGCTGAAAGACAACTTTTGGGTGCAAAAGCAGGAATGCCTGTTCCCATTTAGGGCCATGGGTTTCCAGGCTTGTGGGCAGGGCTTTGCCAGGGAACCACTCTCTTCTACCCAGTATTTCCCTGTCTCCTTTCTATATCACCACCAGCAGTGTATAAGCATTCCCTTTTTTCCACAAACTCGGCACCGTCTGTTATGTTTTGATTTTTTAATAATAGCCATTCTGGCCGGTGTGATATGGTATCTCATGGTTCTGATTTTCTGATGATTAGTGATGTTGAGTATTTTTTCATACGGTTGTTTGCCATACATACGTTGTATTTTGAAAAAAGAATTCACAGACGGCTTAAGTGTTAACCCTTTCAGTGCCCTCTTGGTATCCAAGTCCTTGTCCAGCATTCAGAAAGAAGTTGCACATGGACTTGAGGATGGTGAATGTGGGGGCTCATGTTCTTTGCCTATTTGTAGTGGGTTTGTTTTTTGCTTATTGATTCTTTATACATGCTAAGTATTAGACCTTTTTCAGATATGTAATTTGAAAATATTTTCTTCTGTTCTGTAGGGTGTTCTCTGTTGATAGTTTCTTTTGCTGTGCTGAAGCTCTTTAGTTTCATTAGGTCCCACTCATCAATTCTTCTTGTTGCAATTGCTTTTGGAATCTTCATCATGAAATATTTGCCTGCGTCTATGTCCAGAATGATATTTCCTAAGTTTTCTTCTAGGGTTTATATAGTTTTGGGTCTTACATAAGTCCTTCATCCATCTTGAGTTGATTTTTTTATATGGTGAAAGGAAGGGAGTGTACATGCCCCTGTGATATTGTTCCTAATATCCAGGTTGGGAGAGGATATTATACTCAATATTGCAGGAAGTGTCGACCACCCTGAATATTGCTTTTAATATCCGGGGAGAGAGGGTGATATTACTCCCAATATCATCCTCTCCCCCCACACCCTGCATAGTACAAGCAATATCAAAGGGGGTCTGTGCAACACCTGCAATATTGGGAGTAATATCCTCCCCCAACATGGATATTAGAAACAGTATCACAAGGGGTTGTACACCACCTGTGATATTATGGAGTACTATCATTTTCTTTCCCCATGGATATGTAGAACAATATCACAAAGGTGGTGTACAACCCCTGCCATATTGGGAGTAATACTGTACTTTCCCCACCTAGATATTAGGAACAATATCACGGGGGGTTATACACCACTGCAACATTGGGAGTAATATCATCCTTTCCCTCCCTGGATATTAGGAACAATACCTCATGGGTGTGTACACCCTGTTCCATATTGGGATTAATATTTTCTCCCTTGCTGGACATAAGGAAAAATATAACGGGGGGTATACACTCCTTATGATATTGCCAGTAATATTATAGACTTCCCAAAGGGATATTAGAAAAAGTATCAGAGAGGGGTGTACATCCCCTGCGATATTGGGAATAATATTCTTTCATCCCTGGATATTAGGAATAATATCACAAAGGGGTTTTATACCCCCCGTGACATTTTAATTAATATCATCTTCCCCACTGAATATTAGGAACAAATTCCCAGGGGTGGTACACCACCTGCAATATGGACAGCTATATCATTGTCTCTCCCCCGAATATAAGGAACAATATCACAAGGGGGTTGTACAACCCCTGTGATATTGGGAGTAACTTTATACCCTTTCCACATGGATATTAGGAACAATATCACAGGGTGGGTGTACACCCACTGCGATATTGGGAGTAATATCATCCTCCACCCCCTGGGTATTATGAACAATATCATGGGGAGGGGGTGTATGCCCTCTGTGATATTGGGAGTAATATCATCCTGTCCCCTCTGGATATTAGGAATGATATCACAGCGGGGCTGTACCTTTTCTGCACTATTGGGAGTGGTATCACCCCCTCCCCCTATGGATATTAGGAACAATATCACAAAGGGGGTGTACACATCCTGTGATATTGAGAGTAATATTGTTCACTCTTCCCTGGGATATTAGGAACAATATCACAGGCAGAGTGTACACCCCCTGCTATTTTACCTGTAATATTATTCTCATCCAACTTGGATATTAGGAATAATATAACAGGAGGGGTGTACACCACCTGTGATATTGGGAGTAATATCATTCTCTCCCCCCATGGATATTGAGAACATTATCACAGGGGCGGTTTACACTTCCTGCGCCATTTAGAGTAATATCATCCTTTTCCCCCATGGATATTAGGAACGATATCGCATGGGAAGTGTACACGCCCGCCATATTGGGAGTAATATTTTCTCCCTTGCTGGACATTAGGAACAATATCACGGGAATGCACACACCCTGCGATATTGCCAGTAATATTGTAGTCTCCTCCCAGGATATTAGGAACAATATCACAAGGGGGGTGTACATGCCCTGTGATATTGGAAGTAATATCATCGACTCCCCCCACGGATATTAGTAACAACATCAGAAGGGGTGTACACCCCTTGTGATATTTATAGTACTATCATCCTATACCCCCTGGATATTAGGAACAATACAACGGAGGGGTGTATACCCACTGTGATATTGGGAGTAATTTCATCCTCTACCCCTTGGATGTTAGGAGCAGTATCACAAGGGGGGTGTCCACCCTCTGTGATATTAAAAATAATACCATTCTCTCCTTCTCTGGATACTAGGAATAATATCACAGTGCTGGTGTGCACCCTTTACACTATTTGGAGCAATATCACCCTCTCCCCAACTTGATATTAGAGACAATATCATGGGGGGTGGCGTGTAACACCCTGCACTGTTGGGAGTACTATCATCTATTCTTCCCCTGGATATAAGAAACAGTATCACAGAAGGGGTCTACACCTCCTGAGATTTTGGGAGTAATATCATCCTCTCCAAATCTGGATATTAAGAACAGTATAATGGGGTGTAGGGAGTAATATGGTGGGAGTAATACAATCCTCCTCCCCACTTGATATTAGGAACAATATCGCAAAACGTGTGTACACCCACTGTGACATTTGGAGTAATATCAACATTTCCCCACCTGGTATCACGGGGAGAGTGTACACTCCTTATGATATTGGAAGTATCATTGTCTCTCACTCTCGATATTAGGAAAAATAGCACAGGGTGTGTATACACTTCCTGTGATTTTGGGAAGAACATCATACCCTTCTGTCTTTGATATTAGGAACAATATCACAGAGGGGATGTACAACTTATGTGATATTATAATATTCTTTCTTCCCATGGATATTAGGAATGATATCCCGGGGGGCTTGTTGTACACCCCCTGTGATACGGACAGTAATATCATTGTCCTTCCCCCTACATATTAGAAACAATATCACAAGGGTGGTATACATCCCCTGGATATTAGAAACTATCACAGGGGGGCTGTACAACCTCTTTGATACTGTGAGTAATGCCATTGTCTCCCCTCCTGGGTATTAATAACAATATCATAGGGTGGGTGTACACCCCCTGCAATATTGGGAATAATATCATCCTGTCTTCCCCGGGATATTAGGAATGGTATCACAGGTGGGGTTTACACCCCCTGCAATTTTGTCAGTAATATTACTCCTGGATGTTATTGAATATATCACAGTGGGGGTGTACACCCCCTGTGATATGGGGAGTAATAGCATCCTCTTTCCCACTGGATACTACAAACAATATCGCAGATTGTGTACAACGTCCTGTGATATTGTTCACAATATTTAGGGAAGGAGAGGATGATATTACTCCACATATCACAGGGAGTGTTACATCCCCTGTAATATTGTTCATAATATTTAGAAGACGACAGGATGATATTACTCCCAATATAGTAGGAAGTATACACTACCCTGTGATACTGTTCATAATTTTTAGGGGATTAGAGGATGATATTACTTCCAATATCACAGGGAGTGTACACTGGTGATATTGTTTATAATTTTCAGTGGATTAGAAGATATTATTCCGAATATCACAGGGGTTGTACATCCCCAAGTGATATTGTTAATATCCAGTGGGGAAGAGGATGTTATTACTCCCCATATCACGGGGGATGTAAACCCGTTTGTGGTATTGTCACTTACATCCGGGGGGTAGAGGATGATATTACTCTGCATATCATAGAGGGTGCACACGGCTGTAATGTTGTCCATAATAACATCCAGAGAGGAAGAGAATATTATTCCCATGTTTCAGAAGGTGTACACACCCCTGTGATAGTCTCTGTAACATTTAGGGAAGAAGGGGATGATACTACTCCAGATATTGCAGGGGGTGTACACCCCCCTGTGATACTGTTCGTAACGTTTAGGGGGAAGAGGATGATATTACTCCCCATATCGAAGGGATTGTACATCTCCCTATATATTGTCCATAACATCCAGGACAGGAGAGGATATTACTACTCCCCATATCACAGGGGGTGGACAACCCCCTCTAAATATGTCTAACATCCAGGCGGGGACAGGAGGATATTTTTCCCCATAACCTAGAGAAAGTAAACCTCCTGCGATTTTGTCCATAACATCCAGTGGGGAGAGGATGATATCACTCCCCATATTGCAGGGGGTGCACACTCCACTCTGATATTGGCCGTAATATCCGGGGGGGTGAAGTATGAAGTCACTACACATATCGCAGGGATTATTAGTATCAGATTGTTTGAAGGACTCACAGTAAGGGTAGTAGTAGGGCGAGTTCTAACTCAAATAGGGGAAATGTGATGGCTACTAGAAAGAATTTTATGGAGAAGGGAATGTGGGCAGAGGATAGAGGGTCAAATCTGCATTCATAAGGGCTAGACTTTTCTATATATATTTATTTTATACATATATATATATTTTTATCTCTCTCTACATATATATATTAAGTTGTGGGAGCCAAAATGTAATAATTATTAGTAACAGGGCTAATAGGGTGTTGATTACTAGGGTTAATGTTAGGTGAATTACTGTTTTTCGGATGCTATCAAAACTTTGGAAATCATGGTACTATTTATACTAAAAGAGTAAGATCCTCATCAATAAGTAGAAACATACAAGAATAGTCATACTACATCTACAAAGTGTCGATATCAGGCAGCGGCTTCAAAGGCAAAGTGATGACTAGATGTAAAGTGGTATTTTAATTGGCGGAGAAGGCAGACTGAGGAATGTTGATCCAATAATGACGTGAATTCTGTGAAAGCCTGTAGCTATAAAAAATGTTGAGCCATAAATACCATCAGAAATAGCAAAGGGAGCTTTGAAGTATTCTGAGACTTGTAGGAGGGTGAAGTAAATATCTAATATAATTGTAACAGGTAGTGCTTAGATTGTATGTTTTTGATTATTTTTTGTTAGGCTGTGATGGGCTCAAGTAATTGAAACTCCTGATGCAAGTAATACAGATGGATTCAGGAGAGGTACTTCCAGGGGGTCAAGGGGAGAAATACCTGTTGGGGGTCAATGCCCTCCTAATTCTGGAGTAGGGGCTAGGCTAGAATGGTAGAATGCTCAAAAGAATCCAGCAAAGAGGAATATTTCTGAGATAATAAATAGGACTGTCCCATCATTGGAAGCTCCTGCATACCATAAGCTACTAGAGGTCAGTAAACATATTTGTGTGTATCCTGGAGTACCTAGAAGACAGTCTTCCATGTAAGAAGCATTTTACTTGTTGTTTTTTGAGATGGGGTTTCACTCTGTCACCCAGGCTGGAGGGCACTGGTGAGATCTTGGCTCACTCCAATCTCCATTTCCTAGGCTCAGGTGATCCTCACACCTCAGCCATCCAAGTAGTTGAAACAATAGAGCTATGTCACCATAGACCTGTGTCACCATGCTGGGCTGAGTTTTGTAGAGATAGGGTTTTGCCTTGTTACCCAGGCTCTTCTTTAACTGTTGGGCTCAAGTGTTCTGCTCGCCTCAGCCTCTCAAAGTGCTGGGGTTACAGACATGAGACATTCAGCCTTAATAGTTGTTTAATCTGAATAAATAAACAAATGAATTTTTATATAATGGAATGTTATAAGTAATATAATAAACCTAATGTATCTAATCATTAAATATTGTATTTAAAACATTGCTTACATTGTATTATTTTTTAATATTTAAGGGTGTATAAGTTTTGACATGTTATGTTGAGAAATTATGCAATAATTAAAAAGGAAATAAAAGAGAAATAGGTCATCGGTAGCAAAGAGGGTTACAATATATTTTCTAGTATCATTCAACTGGAATCTTAACATTGAGATTTTAGATTAACATTTCTTAAGGTTTTTATTAGACCCAACTCATGTTCCATTAAATATACCGTTTCAAGCCATACATTACTCTTTATTATTATTATTATACTTTAAGTTCTAGGGTACATGTGCACAACGTGCAGGTTTGTTAAATATGTATACATGTGCCATGTTGGTGTGCTGCACCCATTAACTCGTCATTTATATTAGGCATATCTCCTAATGCTATTCCTCCCCTCTCCCCCCACCCCATGACAGGCCCTGGTGTGTGATGTTCCCCATCCTGTGTCCAAGTGTTCTCATTGTTCAGTTCCCACCTATGAGTGAGAACATGTGGTGTTTGGTTTTCTGTCCTTGCAACAGTTTGCTCAGAATGATGGTTTCCAGCTTCATCCATGTCCCTACAAAGGACATGAACTCATCATTTTTTATGCTGCATAGTATTCCATGGTGTGTAAGTGCCACATTTTCTTAATCCAGTCTATCATTGATGGGCATATGGGTTGGTTCCAAGTCTTTGCTATTGTGAATAGTGCCACAATAAACATACATGTGCATGTGTCTTTATAGCAGCATGATTTATAATCCTTTGCATATATATCCAGTAATGGGATGGCTGGATCAAATGGTATTTCTAATTCTTGATCCTTGAGGAATCTCCACACTGTCTTCCACAATGGTTGAACTAGTTTACAGTCCCACCAACAGTGTAAAAGTGTTCCTATTTCTCCACATCCTCTCCAGCACCTGTTGTTTCCTGACTTTTTAATGATTGCCATTCTAACTGGTGTGAAATGATATCTCATAGTGGTTTCAATTTGCATTTCTCTGATGGCCAGTGATGATGAGCATTTTTTCATGTGTCTGCCATACATTACTCTTTAGAATTCTGGTGACCAATTCTTTTTCTGGGTGGAAAGTTGATGGAAAGTTCCAGTTTTCTCTCTCTGTTATAATAATGTTCTTTCAGGTAATGGTAGATGACCATATTTAGCTAATTGAATGTCTTATAGTAAGAAACACTATCACAGAAGTACTTACAAAAAACTAATTGCAGCATAAATACTAATTAGTATTATCAGAGTTATGAAAGACCGAAGGCTCTGTTATAGATCTATTTCCCCATGTACTTTATTGTACTTCATGTTTTTCGTTTTCTTTCTTGGCTTAAGCTCATATTTCATTGACTAATTAGGCTTGTTTTTTGTTTGTATCTCTCTTTGTTCTCACATTTTAAATTGAAATTTTTGGGGAGGCAGGGTCTAGCTCTGTTGTCCATGCTGCAGTGTAGTGGCATGATCTTGGCTCACTGCTGTATCCACCTCTCAGGCTCAAGTGATCCTCCCACATCAGCTTCCCAAGCAGCTGGGACTACAGGCACACACCATCATGCCTGACTCCTTTTGGTATTTTTTGTGTAGAGATGTGTCCTCATTATGTTGCCCAGGCTGGTCTCCAACTCCTGAACTCAAGCAATCCACCCACCTTGGCCTTGCAAAGGGCTGAGATTACAGGTGTGAGCCACCATGCCTGGGCAACATTGAGATTGATTTAAAGAAATTGATTAGGGCTGGGTGTGGTGGTGCACAATGCTTATCTCAACATTTTGGGAAGCAGAAGTGGAAGATTTGCTTGAGCCCAGGAGCTTGAGACCAGCCTGGGAGGTATAATGAGGCCTTGTCTCTACAAAGATAACAATAAAAACATTAGCATGACATGATGGTATGCACCTGTAGTTCCAGCTATTCAGGAAGTTGAGGTGGGAAGATTGCTTGAGGTCAGGAGTTTGAGACCACAGTGAGCCATAATCAGGCCCCTGCATTCTAGCCCTGGGTTGACAGAGTGAGACCCAGTTTCATAAAAAGAGATTGATAAGAAACTCTTGATGCAACTCATTATAATTTTAAATGGAAACTAATTCTTGATATTACCTTAGCAGTGTGTCCCCCAGAAAGTGTCAGAGCCTTTACGTGGACCTTCTCATGAAAACGGAAACAGAATAGTCAATGGAAAAGGAGAAGGTGAGAACCGTATTTTATTTAAAAAGTCATTTGATGGAGACCAGACGCGGTGGCTCACGCCTGTAATTCCAGCACTTTGGGAGCCGGACGTTGGCGGGTAATGAGGTCAGGAGATCAAGACCATCCTGGCTAACATAGTGAAACCCCATCTCTACTAAAAACACAAAAAAATAGCCGGGCATGGTGGCGGGTGCCTGTAGTCCCAGCAACTCGGGAGGCTGAGGCAGGAGGATGGTGTGAACCTGGGAGGTGGAGCTTGCAGTGAGCGGAGATCGTGCCACTGCACTCCAGCCTGGGTGACAGAGTGAGACTCCATCTCAAAAAAAAAAAAAGTCATTGATGGAATGTTTCTTTTAAAATATGAGCACTAATAGAGTTTAATAGCTAAAGAAAATGTCCTATTAACTGTATCATAAGTAAAAGAGAAATGAAAAGGTGATAAGTGGTGTCTCTAACCAAGGGTCAGCAGTTGATTCTATTGGAAGTACCACTAAAGGAGCTGAGTTATGAGTTCCATTTTAACATACTCTAAGACCTGAGGCAAGTCAGGAGAGAGGGAAGAAGAAATGAATAAAAGAGAAAGAAAGAATGAGGAGGGCAGAGTGTACATGGAATAAATAAAAAAAAGTGGATGTATGTAATGGAGGGTAGTAAAGTCAAATTGATCTGTAGAAGAAGGAAGAACAGGGTGTTAGAAATAGGAAGGAAGATAAAGTGAGCTTCCAGTACCAAAATGTGTCATATAATTACAGTAACATTTTCCTTCTCTTGCTGTCATTCTTGCTACTGGGGAGGCATTAAGGATTGAGGTACTTTACCATGCAGACCTGTGTTTTATCTACCATAGATGAACATCACCGTAAATGGTCAGCCATGTATGGCTATAATTTGTTTTTATAGAAAATGAAAAGAATAGTGTTGGGTGATTTATTGGGAAGAAATTAATTAGAGAAGCTTTGCCTGATTAAAAGTTCATTAGAAACATTATGGCTTATAACGTAGTATTAAATTCAGGGACATAATAGGAAAGAAGTTGAGGCTAGGCCAAAAAGGCCAATTAGGGTAAACCAATATGGAAGCACACCAGTGTAGAACAGGGCATTCAAATTGTCATGAATTCGTTGAGGAGCTTCTGGAAAGTGCACATTCTGACTCAGCAGGTATTGGAGTCTGCATTTCTCATGAGCACTCAGGTGATGTTTGTGCTGGTCCTTGGACACAGCTCTGAATAGCAAGGGAATAGCCTTCCTTTAGAGAAATCTGGAAAAAGAACCACTGGAGAGCAATTTAAAAAATAACAGAATCCAGGGAAAGCTTTAATTTCCTTTTATTTCTGAGCATGATTCTAGCCACAAGGGAAGGAAAATGAGATGAAAAAAGAGAGATTACAGGTGTATACTACTGCTGAATACAGATGAAAAAAGTGGTCACAATCATCCATATAAAGCAGTTAGGAAGGGAAGCATCAGGATGACAGTTCTGATAATCATTTTTTCAAAGGAAGAGGGATGGTGAATGGACACAAAAGGAGGAAAGAAAGACATTTGCTGGGGTCTTGGGAGTTAAAGCCAAGTAAACTTGAGACAACTCACTTCCAGTTGCTTCAGCATATGCCCAGTCTCACAAAAGAGGTTATTGCTGTGGAGAGTACTGGAGACAGGAGGGAGTGCTAGAGTTGGGGTAAACCACAGCAGCTCATTTCACTTGATAACTGTCAGGCCTCAGGGAGAGAAGTTTCACTGACATGAGTGAATAAGATATGATTAAGTTGCATATAGATGCTTTGGCGAAATTTTTTTGAGACAGCCAGTTCTTTGATATGATAGCTGTTTTATAAAAGTCCTTTACAGTGTAAGATAATATACCAAACTTAGTTAATTTTAGAAGTAATCATAAAATTCATTCCATGAAAACCAAAATTATCATTTTTAATAAATACTGCACTGATTTTGAAATATAAATATGTATTAATATCCAGCAAGTCTGTGGTCATTCAATGTTTTCTTTTTTGATAAATATTTTGATATCAGAAGCTTATTCGACATGGTTTATTTGATGTGTTTTATGGACCACCTTGCATGAGTGGATCAAGGAGCTCTAATTCAAGGCCAAATGAGGGGATAGGAGAAATGTAGGTGCTGCAGTAGCCCATGTGATCATGGGAAAAATGAGTACTTTGATTAGCTGTTATTTCATAAGTGTGTATCCTAGCTGATCAATGTAGAACCCTTTCTTTGATGAGAGGTGAATCCCACATTCACCTGAACTGTCATCCCAACTGAGTATTTCCTCAGTGACAAGACAAGGGGAATTTATTTGTGCTGTGCTGGCAGCAATGCCTCTGGTGTGTGGAGTTAAAATACTCTGTACATTCACCATCAGCTTTGACATTGATTCTCTCAGGTTTGATTTGCCCCTCTGTTTAATGGTCCCTTTTCTCCTCATTAGTCCACGTGTTCACGGTTATATCAATGCTTTTCTATTTTAAGTATAGGCATTTGAAACATAATCTCACTACTGAAATGTAAACTGTGCATTTTGGGAATCCTATATTCCTATTTTCCTCATTGTGTTTCTGTCATGTTGCTGTCCTAGGCAATGAAAAGACGAAGCCAAGAAGAACCCTCAAAACCTTAAGTAAATATTTTTATAGCCAGGCCTGAGAATTCAGCTCGACAGTAACACTGCATGAATGTTTGGTTGGTCCTGTCATACTTACATATAATTGATGACATATCCCCTTTGCTTTGTAGGGCCTCCTGCAAAACATCCTTCCTTGAAGATAATTAATTATGTATATTTTTGAATCACTAACTCCATGTTGTATAAAATATATATGATTTATGAATCGTTTTCTTTTAAAACCCATTCAGCCTAGCACTGAAGTGGAAGATCCTGCTGTGAAAGGAGCAGTACAAAGAAAGAAAGTACAGACATTGAGAGCAGGTACATTTGATGTAATACTGGAAATAAAGTACATTCAATGATTGGATGTACTCATATTATTCTTATTCCTAATTCTATTTGTTCAATATTGAACAGAAGGCATTGACATAAATGTTATTGTTGGTATCCATATTTGAATAAAAACAAATTTAGAAGCATAAAAAAGATTTTAAAAATGTAAGCTTTAAGTCAGATGTTTCTGTTTTAATGTTTTGAATAGCATGAAGTTTTCAGTATAAAATTTTTATACTTGTCAGGGATTCAAAGCAGTGAATTTTGAGACTCTTAAGATATTTCCAGTGAGTTAAGTGCTAGTTGGAGTTCTGATCTTTACCTAGAGGAAAGCTTTACCTATTAAAGTGTCAGTTTCTGTTTTAACTTCAGAGGCTTGCTGCTAGTGTTATTACACTGATGATCTGAAGCTTATCAGATGTTCTAATGAGCAAGACTGTGTGTGTAGGTGTATATATAGATGTGTGTATGCGTGCGCTTGTGGCATCTTTCACTATTACAAATGACGAAAGTAATGATTCATTTATGACTGGTAGACACAGTCTTTTAAAATGGTGATTTTGAGCCTTTTTAGTGTTAAAGTTTTTAAAACATGATTGCATAGAGGCTACCAACATCATAAGTTGGTTGTTTTTCATTTCAATGCCCTTTTGAAATCTTTAACTACATTGTGATGCCCAGAAATAATATGCAGAATTTTTTGTGTCCTAAAATAGTATGTGAGTGGTTATATACTTTATATACCTTTCTGCCACTTTCTTTGGTGTGTTTTGTATTATATTTTCCACTTGTACCCACATTGGTGTGATTATCTCTGGTTTAATTCATTTTACACTGTTCATTGTATTCCCTCATACCACTTTACCACATTTAGTTAGACTCTCCTGTTGCTGATAAATGAAGAAATAAAAAGAAAAATAATGTCAGTTTAAGAGGGCTTTTCTTTAATCAGTTTGTATCTATTAGCATTTACTATATGAGAGTTTAAACCTGAAAAGTTCAGAATACAAGCATGCACCACCATATTTTATTAATGCCCTTAGAACTATGACTCATGAGCCTTTAGCCTATGAAGTTAGGACAATTCATTTCTCTGAAGAAGAATGCTGGGCTGTTCTCAGAAAAGAAAACTGAAAATAGCAAATGATATTGTCTTATTTTACCTCTTGGACATCCTTGAATGAAACTGCTACTAAAGGGATACTCGGATCAAAATTCAGATCTAATGTTTTGAACAGTATAGTTTGTGAATGTCCAGTGATCATGAGCCCTTGATGGGGAAATGACCTTTCGAGTTTCACTTTTGCATTTTTTGCTCTTTTCGTTGACTTGTCTTGAAAGCTTAAATTCAACTATTTTATTTTTACAGAAATCAGGAATATAACTTTTAAAATATATGTCTGTCCTGTCTCACGGTGTTGTGTACTCTTCAGATCTTGTATGAACATAGACTTATATGGGAACAATTAGGTTTTTTGTTTGTTTGTTTGTGTTTTTGAGACAGAGTCTTGTTCTGTCACCAAGGCTGGAGTGCAGTGGCTCAGTCTTGGCTCATTACCACCTCTGCCTCTCAGGTTCAAGCAATTCTCCTGCCTCAGCCCCTCGAGTAGCTGATACTACATGCACGTGCTACCATACCCTGCTAATTTTTCTATTTCTAGTAGAGATGGGGTTTCACCAGGTTGGCCAGGCTGCTCTTGAACTCCTGACCTCAGGTGATCTGCCCACCTCGGCTTGCCAATGTGCTGGGATTACAGGTGGGAGCCACTGTGCCAACTACAAATAAGATTTTTAAGGCTATTATATTTTATACAATTCTTTGGTCTATGTGAATTCTGGAGGTATTCATGCATTGAGGGAAGATTATCTCAGTTTAATGAAAGCAGTTTTTAATTTAAAGTATATTCATTAAAATTTTTTTTGAAGTTTTTTTCTCTAGTACACAGAAACACACAATAGTATCATGGGTATTTGACCTTAATGTGTTTATGCACAAACTTAGTTATTCAAATATTTTCCTATCCCTGAAGAATCTTAATTACTAATAAACAAATTTCTCATGGAAAACAACATATATAACAGAGATGGTTGAGTGATTGAAAGTAAACTGTAGTAAATACCAGAAGCTTAGAACAAGTTAAGTAAACTTGTCTGAGTTAATAGCAATTACAAGACTTTTAAAATACATTGGACCACGGGGGAGTAGTGCATTTGTGGGGTAGAGGACAACATGGTACTGCTTCAGTGAAGAAAGAACTTTTACACCTTATTACAATTTGTATTATTATTTACATTCTAATAAATAAAAACTTTATTTTCAGATATTTTACATCATGTTTCTACTAGTTGAACCATCAATAGTAAGACTTTTCAAAGATTTGGGAAGTTGTGAGTTGATGATAAATATCTGTATCACCATCAGTGATCAAAAATCAGACAGCAACTACCATAGATTTTGGACATGCGAACTTCATAGTTAAAGAAAGGATTAATCTTGGAGCTGTGTTTCTATCAAGGAATTACACTCTTCATTACCTGTGTGAATCGCAGTTATTAGAGTAGAAAGAGAGCAAAGAAGGGAAAGAAGCATAGAAAATTTTATTCTAGATTACCTCGTTTGGCTTCATGCTACCATAGTTCTGACTTTTAAAGAGTCATTTTGTGGTCAAATATACTTTGTGTTCACTCCCCTTATGCAGCCTACAACCAAACAGAATGGTTCTTAGCAAGGCATTTGTATTCTTCCCTTAAGGAAAGCAACATATAAATAAGAAAGGGAATGAGAAGAAAGAGTGATTTCATTGAGGTTGGTATTTAACATAAATTTGAGTACAGGTACCATGATTATATTTAGAATTTTGTGGCTGGATGGGAAAACCAGCTAGATGTCTATAGATTTCCTACTCAAACACAATGTGCCTTTGTTTTACTTTTACGTCTCTAATTTAGCAATTATTAGGTACAACTGTATGCAGTGTCACTAAAAATACCTCCCAAAACCAAATATTAAATAATGTCTATGGCTTTTTGTTTTATAGTGTTGATTTTCCCAATATTAATGGGAACCACTGAGCATTTGCCTTGTGGTGTCTCCTCAGCTGTATTCACATATTCCATCACCTTTTCTTAATGGATAATCACGCACTATGAGTAAGGGTTTTCAGAAAAGCTGTGTCATTTAAAGATAACACAGGAGCATCAAATTTAATTCTGCTAGGACGCCTGGTCTACTGATTAACTGCAGCTAATATGAGGTCTACTTCACATCCAAGTTAAATTCAGTGCCCTTAATCAGTCATATGATGAGGTCAACAGTAATAAATTATGCAATATTTTTTCACCCACCCCTATAGTTTTAATTTCTTTTTCCCCTTATGTCTGTGTTTAACATTTTGCTTTGCAAAACATGATGATAATCTTCTAGAGTAGTGAGGACAAGCTATAAATCCAAAGTTTCTTACCTATGCAAATGACTTGTTTGCTCTATTTTCTCATGAGCTTGGTAGATCCAGGGAACAGAACTTTTAAAACAAAATCCCCATATGTTGCTGGGTGCGGTGGCTAGTGCCTGTAATCCCAGCACTTTGGGAGGCTGAGGCGGACAGATAACTTGAGGTTGGGAGTTTGAGACCAGCCTGACCAACATGGAGAAACCCATCTCTACTAAAAACACAAAATTAGCTGTTCATGGTGGCACATGCCTGTAATTCCAGCTACTTGGGAGGCTGAGGCAGGAGAATCGCTTGAACCCAGGAGGCAGAGGTTGCCATGAGCTGAGGTCACACCACTGCACTTCAGACTGGGCAGGAAGAGTGAAATTCCATCTCAAAAAACAAAAACAACCACAACCACAACCACAACCACAACAACCACCACAAAACCCAAATGCATTTCCTTGGCACAGTAAAACTGAAACAGAAAAAGGGTAAAGTAAATACAAGTAACTGAAAGAGTTTATGTATATTACTTTACTTCTCATTTGATTGATAAAATTTGTAAAGTAATGAGCAGAGTGTATTTCTCCAGGGACCGAGATATATACATTTATTTATTCAATAGAAATTCATTCTTATAATGGCCACTGATACCTATATCCTAAATATTTCTGAAAACATCTCCTCAGGCCTGCATCATCTTTGCAACATTGCCTTATATTTTATCTTTGTTCATTGATTTATATGCCTCAGAATTTTATGCTCCTCACAGTATTTAGAGTGAATTATCCCTAATGCAAATAGATCCGTGAATCACTCCTGAATACCTAATGTCTAAGCATCTTAAAGGTTTATATAAGGATTTCAGAAACTGACTTCTGGGTTGGGCACGGTGGCTCATGTCTGTGATCCCAGCACTTTGGGAGGCTGAGGCAAGTGGATCATTTGAGATCAGGAGTTCAAGACCAGCCTGGCCAACAAGGTGAAACCCCATCTCTAATAAAATACAAAAATTAGCAGGTGGTAGTGGCACGCGCCTGTAATCTCAGCTACTCAGGAGGCTGAGGTAGGAGAATTACTTGAACCTGGGAGGCCGGGTTGCAGTGAGCTGAGATCATGCCACTGCCCTCCAGTCTGGGAGACAGAGTATAACCTTGTCCCAAAAAAGAAAAGAAAAGGAAACTGATTTCTGCCCAAATCTCCATCTGTATCCCTTTCCCCATCTGCCTTTTTCTCTGGAATTACTGAGTTGCTGGTAATGGCCCCCTCACCATTCCTCTTCTGCAGAGAAATACATACGCTCTTGGAGGCTTCTCTTCCTCTCTTGTTGCTGCCTGGCATGTGCTCACCCTTTCCTGCCCTCTGCCTCGCTTAATCTGGCTAACCTCACTCTCTAAGTCTCAGCTCATGGATGATCTTTAGGAAAGCCATCCCTGACAGCTTCTATTTTCCTTCCTTATTCCCCAGTGCCTAACACTTAGCAGGAACTCAATAAGTAATTATTTAGCAAAATTAAGACTGCTTATACAAAGATGATTCAAAAGATTATCCTCTACAGTCTAGCAGCAAAGGGGTCAACATGTAAAGACATGATGTGCAGGTCAGGTGGTAAAGTGACACTAGAAAAATTGACAAGGTACTAAGGGACCCCAACGAAGCAGACACCTCTGTGTGTGGAGAAAGATACCTAGAATCAAGGAAGATTTCACATAGCATTCTGAGCCTTTTTTTTTTCCTCTTTTTGGAGACAAGTTCTTACTCTATCACCCAGGATTGGAGTGCAATGGCATGATTGAGACTCACTGAAACCTCAGACTCCTGGGCTCGAGGGATCTTCTCATCTAAGCTTCTTGAGTAGCGGGGACAACAGGAACATATCACCATACCTGTCTAATTTTTTGTAGAGTCAAGGTTACCTATGGTTCCCAGGCTGGTCTTAAACTCTTCGCCTTGAGCGATTCTCCCATTTTGGCCTTCCAAAGTGCTGGGATTACAGATGTGAGCTATTATGCCCAGCCTACTTTCTGAGTCTTAAAAGATGAAAATAAATTTTTCAGAATAGCAGGGGAAAACATTTGTGATGTAAAAAATGGGGTGCACACTAATTGAGGTATAAACAACAATAATTTTGCAAATTATTAGTAACTGCCAACTCAATTAGTGTCTTGTTAAAAAGATACTGTTATGAAGTATAATAAAGCATTACGTTGTATATTTTGACTGTATTTCAAATTTCTGTTTTGTTTCCAACAGTTTTGTTGACTTATGTTGGGTGGAACAATTTGTGAGTGACCCTGAGATTTTACATGGCTTGAATCTGGTGATATCTGGTGTCTCCCCAAGTGGTTTGTTGAAGTTTTGGATAATTAGAAGTATTTCTTACAGAAGTAAATATTTCAGTAAACATTGTTTCATTCAAACTCTCAAAATATAAAATACAAAGAAATGTTATTCTCTATTTATTTTTATAAAGATTATAGTCCTTATCTAACTCTTCTTAGTTCATTTGAACTAAATCAATGACTTTGTCAACAGAACAAACCTTACCAGTGGCTTTAGAGGAAGAGCAAGAAAGGTGTGAAAGAAGTGAAAAGAAGCAATCACAGGTATATGAAAATTTAAGTTCTTGTTTAATATTAGGGTTTTTTTTTGCTTTACTAACAAAGCATAGTCCAAATGACATGACCTTTCAGACTATACCTTTAGAATCCAATAGATCATAATTTTATATTTAATTTTTAAAACATCTTAACCAGTTATGAAACTTAAGATATTCTTACTATCTCTAGTAACTATTAGTTATTCTAGTAATTCTTAGTATCTCTAGTAATTCATAGCTGTATTTACCCTTAGAATTGAGGCAAGAAATTTTCAGAATTACCTTGCTGTTTTATTTATATAACCTTACTCATAATACACAAGGTAACATGAAGTATTGGGTCATATTACTGAGGAATAGAAATTATGAACAGTTTAACAACAATGGCCACTGAGTTAAACTAGTGTTAAAGGAGTCATCATTGCCAGTGCTTCAAATGTTGCAGTTTTATATTGCTGGTCACCAGTGCCGAGGTTAAAGATTTATTCTGTTTTGTGGTCACCAGTTGACTTCTGTGTCTGTGTTCAGGGAGTGAATGGGGTCATAAAAGTCAATGCAGTTGCCTATTAAGAGAATCCTACCTTGCAGAATGGGACCTTTGGTGTCAGGGTGTGAACAATAACTTTATTTCAACATAAATACATAGTAAACATTACTGAAATTTAAAAAATCCAAACCCTATCACTACTGGAACTTAAAATATATTAGAAGTGGATATAAGCAGAAATTCTATCTAGATACATAACACTATCATAGTATATCATTTGAATTAGAATTTAAAATTTTACTTCTCTTTCTTATTGGTGTTCAGTTTAGCTCTTAATAATTTAGTGTTTGCCTAGTGCTCTAGTTAATCTTCAGAAATAAACATGCACTGTAGGGGCTCACTCTTTCTGGTATGCTGAGGTAAAGTCTTTGTAAGAGAGGAAGCTTTTATAATACTACCTATCATCTTTGAATTCATTTCTGGTAGATTTTACACAAATGCATTAAGTTTAGTCCAAACAGACAGTGAGAGTTCAGCTTGCTGGTTCATGTTTCTGTCCTATGTTAAGCCAAAGCAAATTATTTTTCACTTTTTAGTTACAATCCCATAATTTAAGAGTAGCAACACATAGATTAAGTTTCACAGTTAAATTTTAATTATTTTCTAATATTTCTTTGTTTATACTTGATTAAAGCTAATTTTAAAACATGCACTCTGACAGAAAAGACATCTGAGAAACAAAACAAGCAAATTTGTTTTCCATTTTGCACCTGCCCCCCACCAAAAAAAGTCTCAAGAACCAGAACTGGGTAAGAACAGTGATAAAGGGAATCAATCTATATATTCATGACTTTCTTTAAAATTCATTACAAACAAGTTCAAGCTGAATATTGGTAAAAGTTCTGAAAACTCCAAAATTACTACTTGCCCTGAGGAAGAGCTCCTACATGGTAACTCTAAAGAGGGATGAACAAAAAAGGAGTGCCCTCTAGTCTGATGAATCATGTCCCTGATTGTGAGGAGAAAAATGTATCTGGAGGGTCTAGCTCTGTGGCAGTCCAGGCAGCGCCTGAACAGAGGAAGCCCATGTCAAATGTCTTTTTATTCCATTCACACTCCAGGTCCCTGAAATACACTTACCAGTCATCTTCTAAGCTTCATTTAATTTAAAATAAATCAGACTATAAAAATGATAACAAACCAGACACACAGCTTGTTTCTAACACAGATGATGGAAATTTTTGTTATGATATAGAAACTGAAAAAGTAAGGAACCCAGTAATTATGATTGAAATGAAAGATGATTAAGAGTTTGACATGCAAATGGAAAAATATATAAACCCAAATACCACTAATTGGAAATTAGGCATTGGTCTCAGTCTAGAGATCCAGAAAGCCTTTTTGATTTGTGGTTTACCCACCCCAAAGAAATGAAGCATATGATTCAGATAGAAAGTCACAGTATTTCTGCTGCTACAGATACTTATAAAAACAGAAAACCAACACAGTGCTTATTCCAGAAGCCGCTGTATGAAAATCCCAGTGTTAATAACTACAAAACCATGAATCTTGAACTATAAAATGCGGGTTATTCTTTGCCACATAGTGAGAGAACATCAAAAATATAGCTAGAAGACTTACAGCAAGATATTTCAAGGTCACCAAGATATCACATATATACATATGTAACAAACCTGCACATTGTGCACATGTACCAGAACTTAAAGTATAATAATAGTAAAAAGAATGAGGTAGGCATGTTACAAGTAGAGCTCCTGGCTTTGGAGAAACAGAAAGTCCAACTTCAAAAAGACAGAGGTTCACTTGCTGCTTCTTTTTTCTCTTTATCAATTATTTGATTTAGTCAAATTTTCTATTCAAGAAAATCTCATGTGTACAGTTACAGCGGGGTTTTCTAAATGTGTAATTATGTGTCAAAGTAGATTAGTCCTGCTATCTAAACAATGGTTCTGGAGAATGTTCTCATAATGTTTCTTCATTAATCAACCTAAGTCTCACTCTCAGTCTTCCAAGTGGCATATGAGCTGGGAAACTAATTCAGCCATATACCACGTGACCTTCTGAATGAGATCAACATAAAGAAATTGCTAAAGAAATAAGCTTTAGATTCTAGATTCTTTTTTCTGTATTCATTTAGAGATGAATTACATTTATTTAATGATAGAATGGGAATACAATGGGAGGGAAGCAATGACTGAGACGAGCCACAAAAACACGTCTAGCCTTGAGAGTTGCAATGAATATTCCCAGCCAAATGAGTCTGTTTAATGTATTTTCATGCATGCAAGTTCATCTGCTTAGCTCAAACTGTTTGAACTTATAGTTCCATCATGGTTATTTCCAATATTTTGAAAACAAATATATACTTCCACATATTTTAAAAAATCACCACTCCAATATTTCTGTTGAATCAGTCCTTACATTATGTTGTTTAATAAAGTATCATAAGTTTTGGCATGTGTGATTTTTATCATGTAAGAAGCATAATTTCTTAGATAAAAATTTATCCTTTGATTCTTTAGTAGAAAGTTGAGTTCTGTACATTGTGTCCTAAAGATAGACAAAATCTAGAGATTTTCTTCTTCAAAGTAAAAGCAGATGAGGCCTTTTTCCACCCTCTGAGGCGTTAAATTGCTTTGCTCAACTTAGACTTTTAATATATCTGACTAATTTGATAAATTTATTTGGTAATTTATGTAATTCAGCAATATGGAATTGTATCATGTTATTTGGTGCCATGAAATGCTAGAGAATGCCACCTCAAGAGCTCTCGATGAAACATTTCATATGTCTTTGTTAGTTTGACTCCCATTTTCAGTAGATAATGGGGCTAAAGTAGATAACTGTACCGTATGTTTTCCACCTATAACTTTTCTGATAATTGAATGTGAAATCTGGGAAGCATGTCGTTTTCCAGAATTCTGCACTGGAAACTCAGCAGTTTCACTCTGCTTCTTGTGTTGTGGCAAACTTTGGTTCCCATAGTTCAGGGAGAACTTTCACTTTTTTGATATCCCAGAATTAAAAAAAAAAAGAGATAAAAGGCAATGGGGAAAAGAATAGCTCAGTGTAGAAAAGGGAAAACTTCTTTACTGTTCCTGAAGCCCTACAAGGTCACATCCTCTTAATCTGGCTATTTCATGTAAAATCCAGGTGGCAATGACAGAAGATATATGTTATGCCTGTGTCTTTTTATTTCTCTGTTTCTGCCAGTCAGATAACATAAATATTTATATCAGATAGCAAAGAGTGGATGGGAATAAAAGCACAAAATGGAGAAGAGTCCTTTTTGAAATTTTGGAAAATTCTTCTATTCACTCAAACAGAAATGAGCAGACTTGACAAAAATTTCAATGATAAAATGATGAGTATCTTATAATTATAATAATTATGTATAATGATAAAATTAAAGTAAGCACAAAATATTTTTATCATTAAAACGGTGATAGTTAACCTGAATCAAGTGAAAAAATCAGGGAAAAACTTCTTTTTATTGAATAAAATAATAATTATTATTCATATTACTTTTGTTAAAGGTCAAAGAAGGAAATAATACAAACAAAAGTGAAAAAATACAACTATCAGAAAATGTATGTCATAGTACATCTGCTGCTGCTGCTGACAGATTAACCCAACAAAGAAATATTGGGAAAACCTATCCTCAGCCTTTTACCAAGAAGCTGAAGGAAGAGCATCATAGGTAAGTAAGCCTATAGCAGTGTTTATTTATTTATTTATTTATTTTTTGAGGTGGAGTTTCTCTCTTCTTGCCCAAGCTGGAGTGCAATGGTGTGTTCTCACCTCACTGCAACCTATGCCTACTGCATTCAAGTGATTCTCCTGACTCAGCCTCCCTAGCAGCTGAGATTACAGGCGTGTACCACCATGCCCAGCTAATTTTTTGTATTTTTAGTAGAAATGAGGTTTCACCATGTTATCCAGGCTGGTCTCGAACTCCTGACCTCAGGCGTTCTGCCCATCTCGGCCTCCCAAAGTGCTGGGTTTACAGGAGTGAGCCACCGTGCCTGGCCACCTATAGCAGTATTTCGCAGCAGACAATTGTCATTGTGCTATAAACTAATTCAAAATTGGACTAATATTCCTTATGATTAACAAGTTTTATATTTTTACCAGAGATATTTAGCCCTGCCTGGTAATCAGAAAAGTGCAAATTAACATAAAATAAGATATATTTTGTAAAGTCATGCTGGTATTGAAAAAGTAATTACTACCATTGGCAAATGTGAGGAAAAAGGCATTCTCATACACTGTTGGTATATGAAATTGGTAAATTATTTCTGAAGGGTAACTTAGTGCTGTGTATCAAAATTTCAAATAACCTGACATCTCTTTAACTCAACAACTCCACTTCTGGGACTAGATTTCACAGGAAAACATAACTTGTGTAAACATACACTTATTAAGGGCATTAATTATATATTACACATAATGAACAATAGCTTAATAAATACATAAAATATATGTAATAAGAAGGTGAATTGGAAGTATTAAGAAAGAATTATAAAAAGTGTGGGGTAACAGATGTTAGACCCTTTAGCCTAGTTTTAGTTGACAATCATCTGCAGATATAGTTTGTGTGAGAGACATCTTACTCTGTAAATCATTTGGAGAGACACCTGCAATATTTCATAAAGATGAAAATTTATTTCTAGTGAACTTATACGCTTGTCAATAAATAGTAACTTTAAAAATTTAGTTGATTGTAAATGACCTTTTCTAATCGGGGAGTAATTATGACTGTGTGATTTGAAAAGGTAATTTTGAAATTCTAACTATACTGAATTATCTCCAGTATCCTTTTTTATAATATATGCTAGAGTGACTAGTAACAAAAACTTCAGCAGAATATTCTTTCCTTACTACTTTTCAAGTATATGCATTCTTTTGAAGATGTTGAAGTGAGAGATTAAATATCTGAGAACTAAACAGGAAAAATAATTCAGAACACAGAAATTTTATTAGGATGATAAAGAGCATCTGCAGAGGTAGATCACAGGATGAACTCTTTATTTTTTAACAAAATGAGTTTTAAGATAAATGTCTTTATCTGCAGATGCATCTTAAGATAAGAAAATAAAGAAAAAACAAATGTTAATATGCTGTACAAAAAAATAGAGAAGAATTAGAAAGGAAAGAGAAACAACATAAGAAAGAAGTTGAAGCAAAGCAACTTGAACCAACTGTTCAATCACTAGAGATGAAAACAAAGACTGCAAGAAATACTCCAAATCAGATAAATCAATCTTTGGTAAAAATTCTATATTTTAAACTATTTTATGAAAGTTTCTTCTAATATTCTCTTGATTTAATATATAATATTTAGATCTAAAACAAACCAGAAATGTTATCTCATTTTTAAAAAATGAATGATGCCACTTACAGGTACAATTATTAATATTTATTATAAATCTTGGCATCCACATAAGATATTATTTTATAACAAAGAGCTTTTGAAAACAATAATATGCCATAGTATATACTTAGTGATAACCTATTGATAAAGATTCTGTTCCCAGTAAAATTGTTCCTTGTACTTTCCCCTATTTCATATTGATTACTGTACCTAATATTATAAAGAGGAAACAAATTATTGCAATCACAAATAATCTCATGATATTCTAAGAAGAGCTCTATAAATTTTATCTTATTTACCATTGGTGTTTTGAAATAAAAGTTTTCTTCCATATGGATATATTTACACCACAGAAGTAACTGTGATATGTCAGAGAACTAGAAGTAGAGTCAGAAGTCCTGGGGAAAATCCTGTAGCTTGCTTATATTTTTAACATTTCTTTTTCAAAATTGTGATAACTAGATGAGTTCATCAATGAATGTATATAGGAGTGACTAGTATAATGTCTAGATTTATGATTTAGTAAATGTAATTCTTACAACTGAATATAAAAGTGTTAAAAGAGTCAAATTGAAATAGAATGTTATCAGCGAAACAGAACTGTAATAACTCTGGGAAATTTTATCTGTCCAAATACGTGTGAACCAAGGTTCTTACTATAGGGTGTTGTATGGGTTAGATATCAAAGTGTAAATGCAATTTTTTGATATATTTTAATTTAGTCAAATTTGTTAATGCTTTAATTTATGCTTTTCAGTTTGTTGTAATTCAAGGAAAGGCTTTTCCAATTCTGAAATTCTTAAAAATTCTCTGGTTTGTGTGTGTGTGTGTGTGTGTGTGTGTGTGTGTTTACTTTTATAAATTCATTGACTTTAAATAAATTTCTGAACTTTTTGGAATTTATGCTCTATAAGGTTCAAAGTGTTGCTTCAACTTTGTCTCCAGTTGGATATCCACTTACAGTAACCTTTTTAGTGTATGGATGTGCAGGTTATTCTTTAACTTCAGAGGTAATCACGATATTTTATTGAGTACTAGCTAAAACTTTCTTTAGTTTTATTTAGGATTTTCATAATCACGAAGAAATGAAAGATCTGATGGATTAAAATTGCATTTTGAATACAGATATTGCTATATTCAGACAGGAAATGTGCACAATGAAAAATGACAACCTGGAAAAAGAAAATAAATAACTTAAGGAAGTTAAAATTGTTAAAGAAACAAATGCTGTCCTTGAAAAGTATATAAAACTCAATGAGGAATTGATAACAATAACAGCATTCCGGTATCAACAAGAGCTTAATGATCTCAAAGCTGAGAATACAAGGCTCAGTTCCGGACTGTTGAAGGAAGAAGAAAGCAACAAAAGACTGGAAGCTGAAACTGAATCTTATCAGTCTAGACTGGCTGCTTCTATAAGTAAACACAGTGAAAGTGTGAAAACAGAAAGAAACCTAAAACTTGCTTTAGAGAGAACTCAAGATGTTTCCGTACAAGTAAAAATGAGTTCTGATATTTCCGAAGTAGAAGATAAGAATGAGTTTCTTACTGAACAACTTTCTAAACCACAAATTAAATTCAATACCTTAAAAGATAAGTTCCTTAAGACAAGAGATACTCTCAGAAAAAAGTCATTGGCTTTAGAAACTGTACATAACAACCTAAGCCAAACACAGCAGCAAATAAAGGAAATGAAAGAGATGTATGAAAATGCAGAAGCTAAAGAGAATAATTCCACTGGAAAGTGGAGCTGTGTAGAAGAGAGAATATGTCAACTCCAACATGAAAATCCGTGCATTGAACAGCAACTAGATGATGTTCATCAGAAAGAGTATCATAAAGAGATAATAACTAATATCCAAAGAAGCTTTATTGAGAGTGGAAAGACCTCATGCTAGAAGAGAAAAATAAGAAGGTAATGAATGAATGTGATCATTTAAAAGAAAGTCTCTTTCAATATGAGAGAGAGAAAGCAGAAAGAGTAGTAAGTATCAAGGAAGATAAATATTTTCAAACTTCTAGAAAGAAAATTTAAACATTTGGTTCTGGATACATGTTGAACTTAGTTGAATATAAAAATCAATAGATAAAAAGTGTGTTTACCATACTGTATAATTCCATGTACGTGAAGCATCCAGAAAAGATAAACGTATAGGGACAAAAAGTAGATTAATATTTGCAAAGGGCTGGGACTAGAAGCTGGTAGTGACTGCTAATGGGCATGAGGGATCTTGCAGTGATGGAAATGCTGTAAAGTTGGATTGTAGAGATGGCTGCACAACTCAGTAAATGGACTAAAAATCTTTTAACTTTAAGTTAAAACAGATACATTCTATAGTATGTAAATTATATTTCAACAAAGCTGTTTTAATAAAAAAAGGAAAAATGTGTTTACTATATCAGCTTAGAAACATGCCTCATTTCTAGGAAATAAAAGGTAGAGATGAGAGATGATTTACTTTGAGAAAAGACATTGTGTCACCTATGAAATTTTATTAGGCACAGAGTCATATTTTAAGATAGATAGTTCTGTACTGCTGAAATAATTTTAATGACTTTATGTTGCCACATGTTAAGACCATAATGTAGGTATAAATGGAAATGTTTACACCTGAAATGAGTATTTTCAAATTAAAATTTAATTAAGTGATTTCCTTCGACACTTAATTCTAGACTTCCCAGATGAACTGAAGTGTATTGCTGTGTCTTGTAATACCTTGCTTTAAGTAGTTTTTTATGTGTTTTTTTTTTTTGGTATATCTTTGTTATTATTCATATTAATTTTAAAAATCTGAAAATACTTCAAATTACATATTTTTATGACTACGTAATGTTGTAAAGGCACCTACATGTCATAAAATCATAATTTAGAATGAATGTAATAATTAGCAAAACTATGTTTGATTTAGTTTTGCCACTGGTATTTATAGTTTACTTTGACTATTTATATTAATAATTAGCTCATAATTTTTATTTCAAGGCTCAATGACTATCATTGGAATATAATTTTGTTCAGTACAAAGATACTTGTAGCTGCCTGTGATTTATGAGTAAGGCATTAGATCCCCATTTTCAGACTGAGGGGTGGCAGGCTTCATGTACAGTGGGAATGGAGTAATTACAGGAAGGAGTTGTAGGAGCTTTGAAGTCAGAGAGGGAGGTAGAGGACTGTTTACCTAGGGCCTCAAAGGCCATTGGAATTTCACTTTTATCCTGAGATAGGAATCTGTTGGAAGGATTTGAAAAGGTGATTGAATATGTTAGGAACTTTGAGGTTGAGTTGAGCTTCTAAGATGATTGAATGGTGGGATGAACCTGTTGTGTAAGTAAGAGAATACCAATTTGGCAGGGAGTTAAATATTATTAACATAATTTAATAATAAGGCAATTTATAAAATCAGTAACAAAAATATTTTCTCAGGTGGTTGTGAGACAACTTCAACAAGAAGCGGCTGACAGCCTAAAAATATTAACTACGTTAGAGTCTCCACTGGAAGGTATGTCACATTATCACATTAATTTGGATGAGACACAGGCCCCAAAGAAGAAATTATTTCAAGTGAAAAGTCAAGTGTGTATGGAATTTAACATGTCAACTCTTATTCTGTAGCTAGTTGAGTTTATATAACGTGTTTTAGGATACTAATTTTGGCAGAAGCTTGATTTTTTAGTTTCATTACAATGAATTATTTCCATTTTACTATCTTTATAATGTACTTATTTTTTTATATTGTGACTTTCATTCTACCATTTTGAAAAACCATTGCATACCTTTTCTGTTACAATATGTACCCTTGGAAAAGTGGAGAATTATATATCATTCCTCATAGAAAACTTACTTTTTTCCTGTAAAAACAGTATTTTTAAGTAATTTTTGTATTGTTCTGATGAGGCAGGCCAGATTAAATCAGAGGAGAATATTTCATGGAAAGTTCCAGAAAGTTGTCTTATTTCTTCACTTTCGTGAATGGACACAGAATCTGTGTCTATTTATTTCACAGATTGCAGGTTAACTTGTACAGAAAGGCCATTATACTATTCTTTGAAATGTGCATGTTTTAGGTTAATTTACAAACTATTTGAAAATTTAGGCATTTTCTTTATCTTTAATTTAAAATATACTATAAAACTCTAAAAATATTTAGATTTGATATAGCATGTAAGTCAAAAATTGAGAGTTGAGAAAATTATCTTGATCCTGCCTTTGGATTTTAAAAACAGTTTCACTGAGATATCATTCACATTTGAGAGAGTTCAACCATTTAAAATGTACAACTGAGTATCTATTAGTATATTCACAGCATTTTCATCACCCTGAAAAGCAACCCCACATCTCCTAGGCATGACTGCAGCCTTCCTCCATGTCCCTCCACCTACCTCTGTTGTAGGCAACCACCATCTATCTACTTTTGTCTCCATATATTTACCTGTTCTGTATATTTCGTATACATAGCGTTATACAATATGTAGTCCTTTGTGACTGGCTTTTTCACTTAGCATAATGCTTTCAGAATTCATGCATGTTTTAGCACACATGAGTAGTTTATTTCTTCTTATAGTTAAATGATGTACTATTCCATGGCTATACTGGTTTTCCATTCATTCATCAGTTGATGGACCTTTAAGTTAGTTTCCACTTTTTAGCTATTATGAACAATGCTGCTGCGAACATTCACTTACAGGTTATTATGTGGACACGGGTTTTTATTTCCCTGCCATTGGACTTTATCCTCAGAGTTAATTGGGCAGATTTCAGCACTTGTCTTGCTCATGCTATCCTTTCTGCCTTCTCAGTTTCTGTTCATCTAGCCTCATTCACTCAGACGTGGCAGACAATTTATTGTTTTCATGAAGCTTTCTCTGACTGTTCTCTCTTTGACCTTATGTGTTAGCAATCGTTGTCTAGTCTGTGCAGAAAAACTTAGTCCTTAATTTTACATGGCTTTTATTTTTTTATGGAAGATAATTTTCTCTCATTATAAATTTGCTTAATGGGGGAATAGTATCTAATATGTATGTCACCTATCCTTGCATACATTGAAAATATTTTAGCTTAGAAGTTTGTAGCATAGAATTCAATACTTCTTTATACCATACCAATTATTTATTCTTTGAGACCTTGACACAGTAAGGTTTATATTCTAAGTGTATTTTTAGCAATTAAATATCAAAGCCAACCCAATTAGTCTAATACAGGAGACTCGTTCAATCACATGTTTATGTTTTTCTCTCTATGAAAAAGAATCTAAATTGGCCTTTTTTCACTATGCAGCAGAACTGTGTTTCTGGACCTCTACCAGTTTGTCAGCTGAGCAGTTCTGGCTGCAGCTTGTCTGTTGACGGATAGCACAGCCCCTCTATCTGAGTGCTCAGCAGAGTGCTTGTGAAGGCAGCACCACAGCAACAGTTGCTCAGAGCGAACGGATTCAGGAGCCTCAATTTAGCAATAGAGTCCAGGGTTTTCAGCTCAGTGTCTTTAGCCTGTCTCTGCTGGTCATGTCAGTTATGTTCTATTCAATCCAGGAGGTGCTGTTTACGTTGTAGTACATATATAGTCATTGCCTAATGAGTCATACAGAAAGAAAAGTAAGTTATAAATTATGTCCCCCATTTGCTGCAACTCTCAGTGGTAAGAATGATTCAGTGCAGCTATAGGAGAATACTTCCATTGGCATGCCACCTGCCTAACTTACACAATTTTGTTAAGATATGCAATAAAATTATTATGCTAATAGCAAATATTTTATGTAGCTCACTATGTTCCACGTAGTCTTCTAAGTGCTTCATGTTAGTCCCAAGTTAAACACCTGGTTTTGGAAGGCTGAGGCAGGAGGATCGCTTGAGCCCAGGAGTTTGAAACCAGCCAGAGCAATATGGTGAGACCCAGTCTCTAAAAAAAAAAAAAAAAAAAATTAAACACTTAGCTGAGGCATGGTGATGCATGCCTATAGTCCCAGCTACATTGGGAGGCTGTGGTAGGAGGGTCGTTTGAGCTTGGAATATTGAGGCTGTAGTGAACGGTGATCAAGCCACTGCACTCCAGGCTGGGTAACAGAGGGAGACTCTGTCTCATAAATAAAACATTTTCTATAGATTCCCATAGAAGTGAGTTAGACATCAGTCATAGAATTATTAGCCACTTTGATGTCTACCTTGGGAGTAAAACATATAATAAGGGGCAGCTTTAAACCATCTCAATCAATAGCCTCCAACTTCTTGAGAAGGTTCTTATTTCATGAACTTCTAAACAAGAGACTACCTGGATTAAGACATTTGGTGGACACCATTTTGAGATGAAGAATCTTGAGTGAGAAGAAGGGAGATCTCTACTTACTGAAGCTTCCCAATGACATAGTTAAGTGTCCCCCAAAAGAAACTATAGAACAAGACTTTCATCATGCCACATCTCTATGGAAAAGGAATTTCTTTAAAAGAAAATAAAGGCAAACAATTGATAATCTGATTCTCATGGGAAAGTTTTCATTATAAAAGAAAAAGAGTGCTGGGTGCCGTGGCTCACGTCTGTAATCCCAACACTTTTGGAGGCTGAGGTGGGTGGATTACCTGAGGTCAGCGGTTCAAAAACAGCCTGGACAACATAGTGAAAACCTGTCTCTACTGAAAATACAAAAATTAACCAGGTGTGTTGGTGTGCACCTGTAGTCCCAGCTACTTGGGAGGCCGAGGCAGGAGAATCACTTGAACCCAGGAGGTGGAAGTTGCAGTAAGCCGAGATGGTGCCACTGCACTCCAGCCTGGATGACACAGTGTGACTCCATCTCAAAAAAAAAAAAAAAGAAAAAAAGAAAAACAAAAAAGGGACAAAGTATACTGGTCCAAAAAAGAAGAAAGCAAGAAAAAAAGGACAAAGTATACTGGTTAGTATCATAACAGTGAGATAGTCCCCCTTTGAGATTAGACAATAACAGTATACTCAAAGTAACATTAATGAGAACCAACATAAAATACACAAGATTCACTATCTACAAAAGTAATCTGCACCAATTAGCAATGTATGAGCATGTGGTTGAGAATATTGTCTATAATATGTGTACTAGAAGGAAGAGACCTCAAGAAAATGGTCAGAGCTGGAAATGTAGATTTGGGAATCTAGGTCAAAGTTTTGAGATTTTAGGAGTCCTGAGAGAATTTAAAAAGAGAATTAGCCACCAGGCATGGTGGGCCACACCTGTAATCCCAGCACTTTGGGAGGCCAAGGCAGGCAGATCATGAGGTCAGGAGTTCAAGACCAGTCTGACCAGCATAGTGAAACCCTGTCTCTACTAAAAATACAAAAAATTAGCTGGACATGGTAGCACATGCCTGTAATCCTAGCTACTTGGGAGGCTGAGGCAGGAGAATCGCTTGAACCCAGGAGGTGGAGGTTGCGGTGAGCCAAGATCATGCCACTGCACTCCAACCTGGGTGACAGTGGGAGACTCCATCTCAAAACAAAAAACAAAAACAAAACAAAAAACCAGAAAAGGACAGGGCTGAAGAATAGAGGTTGCTAAATTTAGAAATGAAGTGGGGTCAGAGGAATAGAAAGGGACAGGGCTGAAGAACACAGGTCGCTGCATTTAGAAAGGAGGCGGGGTCAGAGGAATAGAAAGGGATAGGCCTGAAGAACACAGGTCGCTGCATTTAGAAAGGAGGCGGGGTCAGAGGAATAGAAAGGGATAGGCCTGAAGAACACAGGTCGCTGCATTTAGAAAGGAGGCGGGGTCAGAGGAATAGAAAAGGACAGGGCTGAAGAACAGAGGTCGCTGCATTGAGAAAGGAGGCGGGGTCAGAGGAATAGAAAGGGATAGTGCTGAAGAACAGAGGTCGCTGCATTGAGAAAGGAGGCGGGGTCAGAGGAATAGAAAGGGATAGTGCTGAGGAACAGAGGTCGCTGCATTGAGAAAGGAGGCGGGGTCAGAGGAATAGAAAGGGATAGGCCTGAAGAACACAGGTCGCTGCATTTAGAAAGGAGGCGGGGTCAGAGGAATAGAAAGGGATAGGCCTGAAGAACACAGGTCGCTGCATTTAGAAAGGAGGCGGGGTCAGAGGAATAGAAAGGGACAGGGCTGAAGAACACAGGTCGCTGCATTTAGAAAGGAGGCGGGGTCAGAGGAATAGAAACGGATAGGGCTGAAGAACAGAGGTCGCTGCATTTAGAAAGGAGGCGGGGTCAGAGGAATAGAAAGGGACAGGGCTGAAGAACACAGGTCGCTGCATTTAGAAAGGAGGCGGGGTCAGAGGAATAGAAACGGATAGGGCTGAAGAACAGAGGTCGCTGCATTTAGAAAGGAGGCGGGGTCAGAGGAATAGAAAGGGACAGGGCTGAAGAACAGAGGTCGCTGTATTTAGAAAGGAGGCGGGGTCAGAGGAATAGAAAGGGACAGGGCTGAAGAACACAGGTCGCTGCATTTAGAAAGGAGGCGGGGTCAGAGGAATAGAAACGGATAGGGCTGAAGAACAGAGGTCGCTGCATTTAGAAAGGAGGCGGGGTCAGAGGAATAGAAAGGGACAGGGCTGAAGAACACAGGTCGCTGCATTTAGAAAGGAGGCGGGGTCAGAGGAATAGAAAGGGATAGTGCTGAAGAACAGAGGTCGCTGCATTGAGAAAGGAGGCGGGGTCAGAGGAATAGAAAGGGATAGGCCTGAAGAACACAGGTCGCTGCATTTAGAAAGGAGGCGGGGTCAGAGGAATAGAAAGGGACAGGGCTGAAGAACACAGGTCGCTGCATTTAGAAAGGAGGCGGGGTCAGAGGAATAGAAAGGGATAGGGCTGAAGGACACAGGTCGCTGCATTTAGAAAGGAGGCGGGGTCAGAGGAATAGAAAGGGACAGGGCTGAAGAACACAGGTCGCTGCATTTAGAAAGGAGGCGGGGTCAGAGGAATAGAAAGGGACAGGGCTGAAGAACACAGGTCGCTGTATTTAGAAAGGAGGCGGGGTCAGAGGAATAGAAAGGGATAGGGCTGAAGAACACAGGTCGCTGCATTTAGAAAGGAGGCGGGGTCAGAGGAATAGAAAGGGATAGGGCTGAAGAACAGAGGTCGCTGCATTTAGAAAGGAGGCGGGGCAGAGGAATAGAAAGGGACAGGGCTGAAGAACAGAGGTCGCTGCATTGAGAAAGGAGGCGGGGTCAGAGGAATAGAAAGGGATAGACCTGAAGAACACAGGTCGCTGCATTTAGAAAGGAGGCGGGGTCAGAGGAATAGAAAGGGACAGGGCTGAAGAACAGAGGTCGCTGCATTGAGAAAGGAGGCGGGGTCAGAGGAGCAGAGGGAGCATTTGGTCACTGCTCTGCTGAGTACAGCAGGATAAAGTCCTTCATGACCCTTGGACTTTTTTATTGGGATTATTAAAAATCAGATTTCAGTATAAAAAACACCATAATTGATGAAAAATAGATTTCTGAATGAGACCATGTGCCATAGAGTCTAATGGAAGGGGAGAAACACGATAATAGAAAAGCCACAAAAAGTAGACAAAAGTTGTTTTTATTATAGAAAAATATACTTTATTTAAAGAGAAATGGTTAAGAGAAAGGGAAAAACTGAAACCTATGGGTGAATACTTAGAATGACAGTATTTAGCTCAACCTGAAGACAGATGAGGATGAAAAATGTAATGGGAACTAGATAAGAGTTTTTTAAAAATTGTCTTAGTAAGATGTAATTTAAGAAAACTTGGAATATCTTAAACTATTAAAGACAATATTTCTAGAGCATGTTTAAAAACTAAAATGTAAATATAACTGCTCTTTTTTTTTAACTAACCCTTAGTATTTTGAGTGTAAAAACCCTCATTTGTAACAAACATTGTTGGCAGTTTAAATTTCAGAAAAGATAACGATGAAAATTTGAAACACTTATAGCAGTTTTAAGAAAAGTGACTATTTTTGAGATCTGCCCTTATTGGCATCAGGTTTACAAAATGCACTTTATACACCTGCTTAAATACATATTACTCATCCACTTATGAGAAATAATATTTTTGAGATAAAAGAGGGACTCTAGATTTTACAAAAATAATTTTAAACACTTTTTTAAGCCTGAAGAAAAAAATGAAGAATTAAGAAAACTTTTTGAGTTAATATCATCACTGGAGTACAATGTGGATCGAATAAGAAAGAAAAGTCATGATTTAGAAGAAGAAGCAACTGGGCATGGATGGTTTTCATATTGTAGAACATGTTAACCACTTATTAATTGATTTAACTCTAATTTTACTTGACTAAAACCTAGATACAAATTCATTTTAAGTTTGCATTTTCATAATTAAATGAATTCTATTTTAAAATGTATTTCAGAAACTCACAGCACAACTTTTTAGATATGTGTGTCATGGGGGCGGGAGTCAGCTGAGCTGCTGGGGCAAGGTGAAATTTTTTTTGAATGCCAAAATATTTTTTTTTCTTTTTGAGAAAGAGTCTGGCTCTGTTTCCCAGGCTGGAGTGCAATGGCACGGTCTTGGCTCACTGCAACCTATGCCTCCAAGCAATTTTCCTGCCTCAGCCTCCTGAGTAGCTGGCATTACAGGCATGTGCCACCACTCCCAGCTAATTTTTGTATTTTTAGTAGAGATGGGGTTTTGCCAAGTTGATCAGGCTGGTCTTGAATTCCTGACCTCGTGATCTGCTGCCTCGGCCTCCCAAAGTGACGTGAGCCACCATGCCCGGCCACTTATTCTTTCATGATTTTGAAAACAATGACCAAGCCTTGGACATATAATGTCCAGTGCACTCTTCATTATCTAGTTTGAATTTTTATTTCTGAAGATATGTTTTGCTGTCTGTGGTCATTTTTTCTTCCTTTTGTAGTACCCTCTGCTGCATTCAAATTCCTTAAAGAAGACTTGTTTGTGTCATTCTTTAACATCAAATTTATCTTGATATGTAGCTTATATTTTGTTTCTGCTTCTTTTTCTTTTAGATATAAAACATATCATGGAAATTTACTCATTGTAGATGAGTACCTCTGTTGTATACATGAAGTATACATGTTATTAAACTTGTTTTACATAAATAAATTTCATATATATAAATATATGTATAACTTGAAGAAAAAGTAAAATGAACATTTATGTTTTGATCACAGATTTTTTTTAAAACAACGGAATCTGTCTTTGAAGCCTTGAACACAGCTACTTTTCTATTTATTTACTGAGCACTTAATTTGGTTTTCTGATTCGAATCAACATTTTTCTGTCATTGCCTTTCTCTACATGGTTTTGTGTCTGTTTAATTTTGTTGACATTATGTCAGCAAAGATGTCTAGATCTCTTCTTCAAAGTCTTTAAATCGTCACACATCTCTCCGCCCCTTTCCTTTTTTCTAAAACTGCCTGTTTCCTTTTTCTCTTCAACTCAGATATTAAAGATGTTTTCTTCTCTTTTTCTACATTGAAAGATCTCCTTGATGCTTTTTGTGTGTACTTTTTTTTCTCTGATAGACTGTGATCAATGCATATCAAAATGTATTTTTTGTCTTTTTCAAACGTATGTGTTTTACTTTTTTATCTTGGTTACTTATCTCTGGGTTATGGCTTATATTTAGTAATAGGTTATTTTACCTAGCATACCAACATGGATATGAGTAGTTTATTTACAAAAAGTGTACAGTTAGGCCAGGTGTGGTGGCTCACACCTGTAATCCCAGCACTTTGGGAGAGCAATGTGGGTGGATCATTTGAGGTCAAGAGTTCAAGACCAGTCTGACCAGTGAAACCTCATCTCTACTAAAAATACAAAATGAGCCAGACGTAGTGGTACACACCTGTAATCCCAGCCACTTGGGAGGCTGAGACAGGTGAATCACTTGAATTCAGGAGGCAGAGGTTGCAGCGAGCTGAGATCACTGCATTGCACTTTGGCCTGGGCAACAAGAATGAAATTCCATCCAAAACAAAAAAAACAAAACAAAAACACTGTATGTTTATAATATCACTTTACCTGCCATATATGACATAAAATTGTTCTTCATATTATTTATCTAAGATTATAATTTCATATAGAATGCTTTTAAACTATGTTCAGTTGAAACTGAAAGGAACATAGTTTATAGATTTGTTTCCTTGATATGCCATAACATATATTTAAACAATTATTAAATATTTACTCTTAAAAATACTTGACTTACTAATTCTGTACATTTCTGCAGATATAAACGCCTCCTGGAAATGACAATAAATAAGTGAAATGTATTTGGAAATGAAGACTTTGGTTGCCATGGAGACTTAAAAACAGATCAACTGAAAATGGATATTCTGATTAAGAAGCTAAAACAGAAGGTAATTTAAAAAAAATTATTTTATCTTAAGGTCTAGATTACGTGTGTGAGATGTGCGGGTTTGTTATATAGGTAAACATGTGCCATGGTGGTTTGCTGCACCTATCAATCAATCACCTAGATATTAAGCCCTGTGGGCATTAGTTATTGATGTTGATACTCTCCCTCCTGACCCCAACAGGCCCCAGTGTTTGTTGTTCCCCTCCCCGAGTCCATGTGTTCTTATAGTTCAGCTCCCACTTATAAGTGAGAAGATGCAGTGTTTGGTTTTTTCTTCCTGCAGTAGTTTGCTGAAGATATCAGCTTCGGGTTCATCCATATCCCTGCAAAGAGCACGATCTCATTCATTTTTATGGCTCCATAGTATTCCATGGTGTATATATACCACATTTTCTTTATCCCATTATCACTGATAATGTCCACCTGGGTTGATTCCATGTCTTTACTATTGTGAATAGTGCTGCAGTGAACATACAAATGCATGTATCTTTATAATAGAATAATTTATCTTCCAATGTATGGTAATTTTAAATCAGTTTTGGTATTAAAAATCATGCATTTTGGAAAATATTGATAATGGAAAAACCCAAATTCTGCCAAAATATGTTGATAAAATAGAGGGTAAATATATCTTTTCAAACTTTAAATGCCTCAGGCTCTTAGTTAATCTTCCCCAGATCTGGGAAGACCTAGAAGGGGAGAGATTGGGCTACCTTAATGAGGGCCATTTCAATCTCTTGGCCTGCAGCAGCCATTTCAAAATACGTCAAAAAATATATTTGGGGGTAAAATATTTTGATTTCCTTCAGCCTCTTCTCTCTGTGATGCTGCACCAGAATCAGATTAGAAAGGAAGCCACATTATAAGTGTTAATAAAACCCATCTGATGAGATTTGATAGTTTGAAGGGTGTGTTTCCCAGACCCTTTAGATAGAAATTGGGGCCAAAGAAAACAAGGTCTTATTCCTCTATATAAATCTGTCAGTGCTTTAAGCAGTGAAAGAAAGATTTTTCATTTAATTTTACAGACTTGATACTAATGAAAAGGATAGCTTGTAAAATATAAATCTCTTTTTCTATAAAAAGGACATGTTGTTGATTCTCTTAGACCTTGAACCCTGGCCAGTGATTTGAAACCAAGCAGTACCTATCTCCGGATCTCTAGTACCAAATTAATTCGGGGTGGGGGGGTAACAGGTTTATTGAGAAATAATGAACACACCATGCAATTCACTCATTTAAAGTATACAATTCATTAACTTTAGTATTTTCAGAGTTATGCCGTCATCATTACAATTAATTTTAGAACATTTTCATCACCCTAAAAACAAACCCCACATCATTTAGCCATCTTCACTAGTTTTCCCTTCCTCCCTCAGCCCTAGGGAACCACCCAGCTTCTTTGTATAGATTTGCCTATAAGCCTCTGAAATAAAAAGCAAGTGGTCTGCTGGGACTGGCTTATTTCACTTAGCATAATTTTTCATGCTGCATCTGTGCTGTAGCAGGTATAGATGTCGGGTTTTTGCTCCTTAGTTCAGCTACATCTGGGTTCTTCTCTCGTGACCAGGAAAAATTAAGCATGCAGACACATTGAGGAGGGCAGAATTTATTATGTGAAAGGACAGCTCTCAGCAAAGAGAGGGGTCCTGCAAACAGGTTTCCACCTCACAATTGAATACCAGGAGCACATGAGCTGAAGCGGCCAGGCTCCTCCTCTGCATAAGGCGTGAATTCCTGGTGACTCCACCCCATCCCCCCACTGCATGTGGGCCTCCGGTCTGCTGCGGGCATGTCCAGGCAAGACAAGTCCAGCTTCCCTTATCTGCACATAACATCTGGTGTAAACACTTGTGGAGCTGGTTGGAGATTTTCCGGGCACCCTTCCGTATCTGCCTAGGCATTTTGCTGTCTCCTCCTAATACGGTATCTGTACTTAATTTCTTCTTATTGCTGAGTAATAATCCATTGTATGGATACATCAAACATTTTATTTATCTATTCGCCAGGTGATGGGACCTTTGGGTTCTCTCCCACCCAAAGGTGACAGACGTTCTGGTTCTTTCCACCTTTTGACTACTATTAATAATGCTGCTGTAAACATTTATGTATGAGTTTTTGTGCTTGTGTATGTTTTTATTTTTCTGGAGTATATACTTATGACTGGAATTTCTGTGTCATATGGTAACTTTATGCTTAACCCTTTAAGGAGCTGCCAGTTTGTTTTCCAAAGTGGCTGCATCACTTTACATTCCCAGCAGCATTAGTTAAGGGTTTTAATTTCTTTACATTTTTTTCTAACCCTCTTTTTTCTTGAACAAAGATTTTATCCTGTGGTGTGAAGTGATACCACATGTGGTTTTGATTTACATTTTCCTAATGACTAATTACATTAAGCATCTATTAATGTGCTTATCCATCTTTATATCTGCTTTGCAGATATATCTATTCAAAATCTTTGACCATTTTTTAAAATTGGCTTATCTTGTTATTTATTAATTGCAAGAGTTATTTATATTTCCTATATATGTAAGTCCCTTATCAGATACACGCTTTTCAAATACTTTCTTCTACTTGGCGTCTTACCTTTTCACTTCTTCATACTGTCTTCTGAGGCACAGCAGTTTTCAATTTTGAAGTCCATTGAATCCATTTTTCCTTTGGAGTCATAGCTAAGAAAACACTGGCAAATGCTGTCACAAAGATTTATGCCAGTGTTTTCTTCTGAGGGTTTTATAGTTTTAGCTTTTACAGTTAACTATTTTATTTTGAGTTAATTTTTAAATAAGATATTTGGTCGAACTTTATTTATTTTTTCTTATGGATACCCAGTTGTCCCAGCACCATTTGTTGAAAAGACTATTCTTTTCCCATTGTGTTCTTTCGTTAAGTTTGTATAAAATCAATTGATTGTAAAAGTGCAAGCTTATTTTTAGATTGTGAATTCTTAGCTTCTTTATGTCTATTCTTATGTCAAGGCCCAATCGAATTGAATGAGAAGTTTTTTTCAATCATGTTGCATATTACCAGTTGTCTTATGTCATAATAAAAATTAAATTTAGTGGAATATCTGTAACTTCACCTTTTGTGTCACAAAGGAGTCTCTGGCCAGCTTATACCTTACTTCGTCTAAGACATGATCAGACGCCAGGCTTACAAGACACATTTAATTTCTTTTTTTCTCCATTCAAGCCTTTAGTCTCTTTTCCATTGCCTCCCGCTATAGTTATATTTTCAGTAAGTTTTGGTCGCAGGATCTGCTGACATAGTCTAATATTTAGTGCATTATGTTTTACTAACTCATTATAATTCATAGAACCTTCCATAGATGTTTACCATCGAGGAAGGAGAAGTTTAAGTCTGAACCACCAGCTTTCCTCAGTGGAAATCAAGTGAAGTCATCATCTTGCAGTTTACAGACCCTCTTTCCTCCTGGTAGCTGGTTCTCTTGGGTAGTACTGTAGCTAATCCTTTTCTTAGTGCAGATCTTGCATTCTCAGAGACCACAGTTCCCTGTATTGACCTCCTTTTACTGAAACAGAGATGCACAGCTCTGCTTTCTAGCTCAGTAGAGGATTCTTGGAATAAAACGTTTAACTCATTCCAAGAAAAAGTCTTAGGAGTGCAGCACTTCAAAATCAGGTAATGTTCAGGCAATTTATCAGAGACACATAGTAGGTTAGTATTTTGACTTTCAAAATTTCGGAGCCAAGTTGTGTGCTATAGAGGAGCATTGTGGCATAACATAGAGATGGGATGGTCTTAACTTCTCCATACAAACAAGCTTGGAGTAAGGTAAAGGAGAAATTGCATTTGATGTCTTAACACTCAAAACACACTATGCTTATTTTACTTCTGTGAAGACTAAAAATCATTCCATAATCTCCTTATTTGCTCATTTAGAAAAGAAAATGAAAATTGAATACTAGGTTGATTAATAAACACTCAAAGCTTCTTCTTTTAGAATTTTAGTTAATTGAAATCAGGTAAATGTCTGATTTTGCCTATGTCACCAAGTATCTCTAGTTGTTTTTCAAATCATACATCTTCTTGCTTCCCAATCTTATTTCCTAACTTGAGGGGAAATTGTAAGGAGACATCCTTGCCTTGTTATCAGAGTTCATAATTGAAGGAGTTTTAGGAAAATTCCTCCTCAGCAGCTTATGTCTCTCTCCTGGTTATCTGCTGCTTCTCAATAATGTTTGACATCAATAAATAAATCTCAACATTTATTAGATCCTACTTTAAAGGAGACTTTTCTGCTGCATAAGTTATGTTTCCTGTTGTCTCTTTTTAAAAGTTATTTTTCTAACAATTACCCAGAGTCTTGTGGCTTGAAAGAAAAACATTTATTTTGTTCATGAACCTGTGGTTTGGGAAAAACTTGGCCAGAACAGCTTGTCTCTGCTCCCTTCAGCTTCCCTAGGAAGAGCTGATCAGTTGGGGAAATGGAATCCTCTGAAGCTTTGGTCACCCACTTGTTTGATGGTTGATGCTGGCCATCGGCTGTAAACTTGGTTGGGACAGGCAGCATGAACACTGACACAGGCACTTTCAGGCTCTCACAATTGGGGCTGGGTTCCAAGGGAAAACAGTCTGAGATAGGGAAGCCACATGGTATCCCTTTCACTACATTCTACTCATTAGAAGGAAGTCAGTAAGGCTGGCCCATATTCTGCTTTTTAAATGGGATGAATGTAGCTTCTCTTTTGTTTTAATTGACACATATATACATAATTATGGGCTATAGAGTGATATTTTTATACATGTATATAGTGTGTAATGATCAAGCTAACTAGCACATTTACTACTTCAACCATTTTTCATTTCTTTGAATTGTGAACATTCAAAATCTTCTGGCTTTTTAAAAATATACAATAAGTCGTAGTTAACCATATTCACCCTACAATGCCACAGAACACCAGAACCCACTCCTCTTATCTAACTGTAATTCTGTATCCATTAACCAGCCTCACCTCCCCTACTTCTGTGAGCTTTTTTTTGTTAAGAGACAGGGTCTTGCTAGTGTAGTCTGGGCTCTGGGCAACTGTAGTCACCCAGACTGGAGACAGTGGTTTGATCATAGTTCACTGCAGCCTCAAACTCTTGGGCCCATCTGATCCTCACACCTCAGCCTCCTGAGCAGCTGGCATTATGGGCATGCACCATTGCACATGTCTGATTTTTGACTTTGTAGAGATATCTCCCTATGTTTCCCAGGGAGCTCTGGAACTTTTGGCCTCAAATGATTCTCTTGCCTTGGTCTTACAAAGAGCTAGGAAATTACAGGCATCAGCCATATTGCCCAGCCTTCAATTTTCCTTTAGCTCCCACACATGAGTAAGAATGTGCAGTATTTATCTTTCTGTGTCTGCACTTAACATAACATCCGTCAGACTGATCCACGTGGCCACGAATAACAGGATTTAATTCCTTTATACGGTGAATACTATTCCACTGTGTTTGTGTGCCACAGTTTTTCGTCCATTCATTTGGTGATGGACATGTAGGTTGATTCCATACAGAAGCTGTTGTGGATAGTGCTACAGTAAACATATGAGGACAGGTATCCTTTTGATCTATTGTTTTCTTTTCTATTGCCTGAATACCCAGTAGTGGGGTTGCTGGATCCCTCGGCAGTCCCATTATTAGTTTTTTTGAGAAAACCTCCTGTTGTTCTCTATAGTGGCTGCACTAATTTACCTTCCCACCAACAGCATGTAAGAGTTTACTGTTCTCTGGAGCCTCACGAGCATTTGTTATTTTTTTTGTCTTTTCAATGACAGCAATTTATTCAAATTGAAGCAAGATTATATCACATTGTAGATTTGATTTGTATTTCCCTGAGGATTAGTGATACTGAGCATTTTAAAATTTATTTATTGGTTATTTGTATTTCTTTTTCTAAAAAAAAGTATAGTTATATATTTTGCCCAATTTTGAACTCAGATTTTTTTTACTGTGAAGTTGTTTGAGTTTTTTTGTATATTTTGTATATTAGTCCCTTATTAGGTGAATAGCTTGACAATATTTTCTCCTATTCTACAGGTTTTTTCTTCACTCAGTTGTTTGCTGGACAGAAGCTCTTTAGCTTAATGTAGTGTCATTTGTCTATGATTTGTTGTTTGCCTATGCTTCTGATGTCTTACCCATAAAAATCTTTGTGCAGACTAATGTCCTCAAACATTTTCCCTATATTTACTTAGAGTAGTTTGATAATTTTGGGCCTTATATTTCAGTCTTCAATCGATTCTGAGTTTATGTTGTTATATGGTGTTACATAGGAAGCTAATATCATTCTTCTCCATATGGATATTTAGTTTTCCCAGTGTCATTCATTTGAAGAGGCTGTCCTTTCCCCAGCGTATGTTCTTGGCATGTTCGTCCAAAATCAGTTGGCTGGAAATATGTGGATTTATTTCTGGGTGCCGTATTCTATGGTCTTTACCCCAAGAATCATTACTTCTTAAAATGCAATTCAAATTAGCATGAAACATTTGCAGTTTAAGGAAAGGCTTATAGCATCAGAATCCTTAATCATAGATTTCATTATTTTGTGTTGTTTTTTTGAGATAGGGTCTTTGTCTGTCATCCAGGCAGAAGTGCAGTGATAATAATTCACTGCAGCCCTGAACTCTGGGTACAAGCCATCCTTTTGCCTCAGTATCCCAACTAGCTGGTTCTACAGGCATGAGCCACCATGCCCGGGTAATTAAAAATTTTTTTTTTGTAGAGATGGGGGTCTCACTATGTTGCTCTGGCTGATCTCAAATTCCTGGCCTCAAGTGATCTTTCTGCCACAGCTTTTTAAAGTGCTAGGATTACAGGCATGAGCCACCATGCCTAATATAGAGTGTAATATTATTTTCAAAGTCTTATTCCTAGGCCCATTTATTGACTTTGGCCTAAATAACTCAATATGATATCTCTGAAACTTTTTTTGACATACTGTGGGGAATGATAATGAAGGAAGGGGGTTAGACACTTTTTACTAGGAGATAACTTTGTGCCATTTAAGGAGGAACAAAAATGAATTATCGAAAAATAAAAGTAAAATGAAGTACAAAAATTCTGTGGCGAAGATGATGATAGTAAAGAATATATTTTTATGACTCATGGTAGCTTTAACTTTGTTCTTAAAATTCTGAGTAATTTCAGGGTTCACATTTGAAGAATCTGCTGCATTACAGATAACATTTTATTGCAAGTAAATGCATTTCAAAATTTGCTATTGGTTTTGTATTAGATTATTCTCAGCCTACTTCATTATCAAGCTATACTATTTTATTCATGCAGTTTGATGATCTTATGGCAGAGAAGGAAGCTGTATCTTCAAAATGTGTCAATTTGGCTAAAGAGAATCAAGTTTTTCAACAGGAGTTATTATCTATGAAAAAAGCACAACAGGAATGTGAAAAATTTGAGGAGGATAAAAAGATGTTGGAAGAAGAAATATTAAATCTTAAGACACATATGGAAAACAGTATGGTAGAACTTAGTAAACTACAAGAATATAAATCAGAGCTAGATGAAAGGGCAATGCAGGCAGTAGAAAAATTAGAAGAAATACATTTACAGGTGAGTTGTTTCAATCAGGTAAGTTTACTTGTAATGTGCTTTCATTTATTTCACTTCAAATTATATTTATATAGTGTTTCCTCTGCCTCTCTTGTAGCAATCTGCTTTGTAGAGTTCTAGAAAAAAATGGTATCTCTTTTTTCTTTTAAATATTTAAATATCCATTATTATTGTAACAAAATCAATCTTTCAGAGTAATGATTCTCATTATGGAGTCATTTGATGATTAAGACCAGTTGGCATAGGAAGAAATTGTGATTTAGAAATTATGTGATAATTATGAATTGGTCTTAAGCTACAGTGTTCATTGATCACTTTTTCAAATTACGAATGGATTCTATTACTTTTTATATGACCAGATTACATTAATACTAGCATAATTATGATTTCAAATTTTTACAAATCAGACTTAATTCTGAATTCAGTTATTAGTTTTGATATTGCTGAAATATTTTAACCTTCAGCCTCTTTTTTAACATATTCAAAAATACTCTTTGAATCACTGACTCAAAATGAAAGGCAACAAACATAATAATTAGGTTATAATTGTTTTAAAAGTGTATTCTTTTCCTCTGTTTTAGGAACAAGCACAATATAAAAAACAATTAGAGCAGTTAAACAAGGATATAATACAGCTTCACTAAATAAGAAGGAACTCACACTTAAAGATGTGGAATGTAAATTCTACAAAATGAAAACTGCTTATGAAGAGGTTACAACTGAGTTAGAAGAATATAAGGAAGCCTTTGCAGCAGCATTGAAAGCTAACAGTTCCATGTTAAAAAAATTAACTAAGTAAGTCAAAACATACACTCATAGAAAATGAATTAACCTCATTAATTTGTTTCAAAAGCATAATTTTTAGTGAGATGGCTTCAGGAGATTAGAAGGAAGTGAATGTTAATTTGACAATGTAATTTTGAAAAATAATGTTAGTAAATAATCTTACCTTTAAAATGTTAGTCAAAGATAGTTTTTGTCTCTCCCCTCATTTTTTTTTTTTTTTGCTTTTGTATGGCTTTTTTTCCTGAAAAGTCTCAGGTAATTAACCTGATCTGTTAGTTTTCTTCACTAAGTATTTTTGAAGCTTTATAATTAATGAAGTGATCTTGTTATAAAATTACTTGTCAGAATTTCCCTAAATAGAAATATTAATGTGTTTAATTTACTTTTCTGTAGATCACAACCTAAATGCAAAGTGGTACTGCTACTCTGGGCACAATTGTTTTTGATTGTGATCTTTAGTATTATCACCAGAGTGTGCCTCAAGAAAGACTATTTGTGTAACATATTCAAGATGTTACAGAAAGGCACCCTTGTGAAATAGGGAATAATTATCACAGGAATTTAAAGAAGTGTAATTCACAAAGCGGTTAAAAAATAACACCTTGTTCAGCCTGAAGCGTTGTGTGGAAGGCAGAAAGAACATGCCCCACCTCCAGGGCCTTGGTCACAGTGTTGGGGGCTAATTCCCTTCAGAGATGCTTTAGTTCTTTTTGATCACCAACCAGACAATCTAGTTCTCCCCTAGGAGTTGTTGCTCTGAATTATTCCTCAGTGCCAAATGTGTAATTGGTCCTAGATAATGGGTGAAATGTACAAGAGTGAAATCTAAAACTGGTTTACTAAACACAAGTATTCCTAGATTTTTTTTGTTTATTTTAGTTTTCTTCACCTACATTAAGGAGTACAACATTATGTTTTGATATAATTATTTCTAGTGAAGTGGTTCTTATAATCAAGCAAATCAACATATTCATTTTCCCACATTATTACCCTTTAAATACAAGTATTTCTAATGGAATCTTCAGAATCTTACAAGTAGAGCCATTTTAGAAGGCAGGAAGTTTTACCTGTTGAGCCATACATCACTGATAGCCATTTCTCTTCCCTGTCTACTTTGTTTGAACTGCTTGTTCAGTAGAAATCACCTTAGAAACAATGGTGCTTCTTTAGAATGATTTTAAAATTATAATTCCTTACAACAGGTATGCTCTTACACATCTTCTGTGTGAAAACACTATTTAGTGGGTAATTTGGTTTACTCTCAGGGTAAGTTTTTAAAAACTGCAAGTCATTAAGAATCATTTAAGGAAAAATGAAATACTAAGCATTTGTCTTTGCTATCTTTACAGATCGAATAAGAAAATAGCAATGATCAGTATCAGCTCTTTATGGAGAAAGAGCAGGTGAAATATTTTCTCAGCACTCTTCCTGCAAGGCGAGGTCGAGAGTCACCTTGTGTTGAAAATCTTACTAGTATAGGACTCAATGAAAATATATTCCCCAAATGCCCGTAAGAATTCCTACTTCAAGCCTCAGACTTCAAATAATTGCCAGAACTACTTGACTGAGGTTAGTTATATGACCGTTTCTCTTTAGGGTTTCATTTCTCTAGCGTAATTCTTGTTTATAATTTGGTGAAATACTGAGTTGTTCTGTTGACTTTTGCATGTGAAGTAAAGATCATAATTAGCTGTGTTAACACAGAAAGGAAATGGGAACTTTACATTTTTTAATTCCCTGGAGCTCTCATTTTCAAGAGATATCCATTTGCTAACTTTATTCAATAAATGTGACTAAACTGAGACGTTTGAAATGTCTTTAAAAGCTGCATTTAAGTTAGGTTTTAGAAATTGCATGTTATTGCCTGATAACTGATGATATACTTTGAGATGCTTTGGCTTACTCTCTAATTGATTATAGTTTAGCTGTGGTTCATACCACATTTTTTTTTTCTTTTTTTTGAGGCAGTATCTCACTCTGTCACCCAGGCTGGAGTGTCTTGGTGCCATCTATCTCCACTCACTGCAAGCTCCACCTCCCGGGTTCAAGTGATTCTCCTGCCTCAGCCTCCTGAGTAGCTGAGACTACAAGCACCCACCATTACACCCAGCTAATGTTTGCATTTTTAGTAGAGACAGGGTTTCACCATATTGGCCAGGCTCTTCTTGAACTCCTGACCTTGTGATCTGCCTGCCTGAGCCTCTCAAAGTGCTGGGATTACAGGCATGAGCCACCGCACCCGGCCCATGTCACTTTTAAAGTTTCTTTGCACCAGCCAGGTGCAGTGGCTCATGCCTGTAATCCCAGCTCTTTGGGAGGCCGAGGCAGATGTATCACGAGGTCAGGAGTTCAAGACCAGCCTGGCCAAGATGGTGAAACCCCATCTCTACTAAAAGTACAAAAAAAAAAAAATATTACCCTGGTGCGGTGGTGGGCACCTGAAATCCCAGCTACTAGGAAGGCTGAGGAAGAGAATTGCTTGAACCTGGGAGACGGAGGTTGCAGGAGCTGAGATTGCACCACTGCACTCCAACCTGGGTGACAGGGCAAGACTCCATCTTGAAAATAAAAAAAATTAAAAAAAGTTTATTTGCACCATCTCACCGTATTTTGTATAGAGATACTTTGAGGCTCTGTAAATATCTGGTTACTCCTCAGAACCCACTAGATTTAGCATTTCATGGATGACTTGTGTTTGAACAATTATTACTATGATGGTTGCCAGATGATTATTTTCTTATTCTCTTCTTTGTTCTACATGGAGAAATAAAACCAATAAATAAGGGAGAAGGAAAGCTCATGATTCTGATGCTCCAATTCCCCAAGATTAGGCCAGTAGTAGACATTCCAAGCTGACTTTATGTCTCTTTGATTTGTCTCCATTACTCTGTCGGCACTTTTTTACTTTCTGGCAGAAGATGTTCTAAGCTCATCTTGTATTTTCTCTGCCCCAGCCCTGCAATGAGTAATTCTTTTTAGAAGCAGAGGTGGAGCCACTGAGGAAGCACAGGTGAGCCCTCCCCAGTGCCTACTCACTGGTCCCCAACAGAAGAACCGCTGCCGCATCCAAGAATGACACTGTAAATGTAACAAAGCTTCCGTGCTTGTTAGTGAACACCAACTCAGCTCCTCTCCTGTATTCAGAAATCAGGATGAGATGAAAACAACAAGCAGGCCAGGCACGGTGGCTCACGCCTGTAATCCCAGCACTTTGGGAGGATGAGGCAGGTGGATCACCTGAGGTCGGGAGTTCGAGACCACCCTGATCAAAACAGAGAAACCCCATCTCTACTGAAAATACAAAATTAGCCAGGCATGGTGGCAAATGCCTGTAATAGCAGCTACTCAGGAGCTGAGGCAGGAGAATTGCTTGAACCCGGGAGGTGGAGGCTGCAGTGAGCCGAGATCACACCACTGCGCTCTAGCCTGGGCAACAAGAGTGAAACTCTGTCTCAAAAGAAAAAAAAAATAAAAATAAAAGAACAAGAAAACAAAACTAACAAGGCTTGACACCAGATGAGCCTGAATCTAAGCAAGAAAAGCCCAGAAGAAATCCCATTTTGGGTCACTGGCTGCATTGTAGTAATACCATACACATAAAGGAAGAGAGGAGGATGTGGCTTTCACTTTGAATTTTTTGAGCTTAAGGTAACTTTTGCGTAGCTACAAAGAAGCATTCAACAGAGAGTTAAACCTATGATGGAAAGACTGAAGAGGTCCAAGCTGTAGAGAAACAGGACTGCAAACCACAAAGGGCTGAATCAGTCAAGGAGAACTGCACGGCGGGATGAACAGGGACCAGTGGAACATTTGGATAAGCTGTTGAGAAGAAAGGAGAATTCAGAGAAAAAGAACTGTCAGTGAGGTCATAATAGGAACTGTTACAGTGAACTAAATATGGCCTGGGAAGGACTCTGTACTTCTAGACTTGAGTCCCTGTGGACAAACTGCAACCTAACTTAATAGGTAGAAAGACTGAAAACCTAACTTAGGAGTATGCACCTGTAACTATAGCTGAGTCCTGGCCAATCCCAACAGCCAAACTTCTGCCACTCACACACTGCTGAGTGTTCAGCTGTGTTCAAATAAGGCAAATGCTGAGCACTGTAACCAGTCCAGTTGTTTCTGGACCACATTGCTGAGAATGGTAAGGGACCCAGTTGCTTCCGGACCTCACTCCTCACTCAGATTTCTGTACATCACGTTCCCTTTATTGTCTATAAATCTTCCACCCTGTAGCTGTGCTGGAGTCTCACCAAATCTTCTGTGATTCTGGGGGCTGCCTGATTTGTGAATCATTCATTTCTCAATTAAGTTCCTTTAAATTTAATTCAGCTGAAGATTTTCTTTTAACAGATGGTGTCAGAAGTGGGATCTGTGGGAGCAGGACTGCTAGGGCCTCCGGAGCTATAATGTGGTGAGCAGTGTTCCTAGGGCTTCTAATGACCCCCAGGAGTGCTGAAGTACAAGAAAGGCACCTGCAAGGACTGCTCTGTGATGGCAGCAGTGGCCCATGTGGAGCAGTTGCTACGGAGACACTGGCTGCAGTGAGGAGGAGTGGCTGGGGCTGTGCGCTCCTCGAAGCTGGTGGGAGTCAGGAAAGGGTGGGAGCCCCACCCCTTCTAAATTGGCAGGCAGGAGCCCCGCCCTCCCAGGCACAGCTGCAGCCATCCAGCCATGACTGCAAACCCGGGCATCTTTGCACTCTCAGAGGCCCAGCAAGCCCCCCTGCCCCCGCAGGCTCAGTTGTACCTGGTCCCACCACCTGGCGTCTCTCCACTCCCAGAGCCCACTCCAACCTCAGATCCAAGTTGAGGCTGAACCCAGGCACAGTCGGAACCCGGCCTGGTATGTGCAAGCTCAAGGCAGTGCTGACATGCCAGCCCCCTGCCACCTCAGCCCCCTCCAGACTTTGGGCACTGACGAGCACAAGAGGGAGGTTGAGGTGGGGCTAAGAGTGGCTCAGCACTGGCCTGAAGGCACTCCTCAGCTCGAACAGCCTCGGCAATGTGGGCACAGCTAACCACAGTGCATCTCTCTCAGCTGCTGAGAGCTGAACAGACGTTGGGATGACTTGCCTGCAGAAAGGAGCTACCGACTGCAGGTCTCCTCTGAGCTGAACTGTTGCTCAATAAAGCACCTCTTCACCTTGCTCACCTTCTACTTGCCCACATACCTCATTCTTCCTGGACTCAGGACAAGAACTCGGGACCTGCCAACTAGCAGGGCTGAAAGAGGTGTAACATAAACAGGGCTGAAACGCACCCCTTGCTTGCCAAATTGCAGGCAAGAAGAAGAGAAGAGAGAAGGAGACAAGAGCTGTGGCCCTTCAGGGAGCCCAGACCTAGGAGCTCCCCAAGCCAGGGCTATGATGCCTTCTTTGGGGTTCTGCAGTTCCTGCATCTCCAAGTTTCTGGGCGCCACTGCATTCCCTGATACCCACAGTGGAAGCTGTTTGCAGTCGGCCTGGTCCAGCTGCAGCCTCACAGGGATCTGGCACCTGTGCCGGTGCCTGGAGCTGCCCACCCCACTGCAGCTGGCATGCTTGACTGTGTGCAGTGGCCAGATCCCATGCTTGCTTGCTCACACACCCTTCACTGCTCTGTACCCAGATCACCCTTGGCAAGTGTGGGATCCAAACCACTAGCATGACCCGAGTGGACAGAACGAACCCAGTGGGCCCGAGCAAAACACAGGTAAAGGCACCACCAGCCAGAGGCTTCAGGCAGAAAAGTGATGTCTCAGGATTCTGTAACACTTGTGCCCTTTGATCTCTCAGAGCTGCTGGGGATCATGATAAATTCTTTCTCGGATTTCAGAGCTCCATGGATTTGTGTTTTGAGCTCTGAGTTTCTTTGAGCAAATTTCTGTTCCAAACTGCTATCCAGCCATGACTGGCTGGATGTTTTAGAAGTTATGACAGAAACGGGACCGGGTCCAGGATCAGATTTGATCCAGTAGTTAACTGGCTTGAATCCAGTTCCAGTTAGAGACCTCCTACATCTGAATGGGTCAGAAGGAAAGTGGTAGTAAATGATAATATTGTAGGGCTGTAAAATTTGGCTTTTGAAAATTCACAGGGATTTTTGTGTTCTACCCCTTTGTTTCATTTTCCTCACACGCTTAGGTAGGAAAAAAAATCATTGGCTAAGTCAATCAAGGGAACCTGGGAGTAAAGCCAATATATTAGGTAAAAATAGGATCCTTAATTTCTGGAAAACTTAGTTCCTTCTGGCTAATTCATTAGGCCTGGGAGGCAGCAAAGTCTTACAGAAATGGCAAAATCTTACTAAAGTTAACTTACAGTGGAATATTCCAAATGAATAATGCCCTGAAGTGCATTTAAAAATGAGGGCTCCCAAATTAGTCTCATCTAGGGATGCCTATTAATATGCAGAAGCTTCTAAAAAGATTTAGAGATGGCACGGCCTATCTGGGAGCAAGTTTGAGTCTTACCAGTTTGACACTGGGTGCTAAGCAAAGTGGCTCGTGTCTATGTTTTGTCACATGTATTTTGCTCTGAGCAGAATGAAAAATGTTAATTTGGTTACTCCAAGCAACCCCTTGGGCAACATCTTGCAAAGCTGAGTGGATTCTTCCTGTGGCTCCATGATTTCCATTGTGATGCAGCTTGGCCCCAGAGCTATAATGTGAGGAGGGTGACAGAGAAAGATGTTATCTTTAAAAAAAAAATGGCCAGAGGCAGTGGCTCACGCCTGTAATCCCAACACTTGGGGAGGCTGAGGCAGGTGGATCACCTGAGGTCAGGAGTTCAGGGCCAGCCTGAACAACAAGGAAAAACCCCGTCTCTACTAAAAACACAAAATTAGCTGGGCATGGTGGGGCACGCCTCTAATCCCAGCTACTCAGGAGGCTGGGGCAGGAGAATTGCTTGAATCTGGGAGGCAGGGGGTTGCAGTAAACCGAGATCGCGCCATTGCACTCCAGCCTGGGCAACAAGAGGGAAAATCCACCTCAAGAAAAGAAAATAATAATAGATTTGCCTATAAGGTTTTATGAAAAAGTGGGTGACATTTGGCTTTCTCTCTTTAAAGAAGATTTTCAGAAAATATTAAAAAATAATGGGAGAAGGAGCCAAGCTGGCCGAATAGGAACAGCTCGAGTCTACAGCTCCCAGCATGAGCGATGCAGAAGACGGGTGATTTCTGCATTTCCATTTGAGGTACTGGGTTCATCTCACTAGGGAGTGCCAGACAGTGGGCGCAGGACAGTGGGTGAAGTGCACTGTGCACTAGCTGAAGCAGGGCGAGGCATTGCCTCACTTGGGAAGTGCAAGGGGTCAGGGAGTTAGTTCCCTTTCCTGGTCAAGGAAAGGGGTGACAGACGGCACCTGGAAAATCAGGCCACTCCCACCCTAACACTGCGCTTTTCTGACGGGCTTAGGAAACGGCACACCAGGAGATTATATCCGGCACCTGGCTCAGAGGGTCCTATGCCCATGGAGTCTCGCTGATTGCTAACACAGCAGTCTGAGATCAAACTGCAAGGCGGCAGCGAGGCTGGGGGAGGGGCACCGGCTATTGCCCAGGCTCTCTTAGGTAAACAAAGCAGCCGGGAAGCTCGAACTGGGTGGAGCCCACCACAGCTCAAGGAGGCCTTCCTGCCTCTGCAGGCTCCACCTCTGGGGGCAGGGCACAGACAAACAAAAAGGCAGCAGTAACCTCGCAGACTTAAATGTCCCTGTCTGACAGCTTTGAGGAGAGCAGTGTTTCTCCCAGCACACAGCTGGAGATCTGAGAATGTGCAGACTGCCTCCTCAAGTGGGTCCCTGATCCCTGACCCCCAAGCAGCCTAACTGGGAGGCACCCCCCAGTAGGGGCAGACTGACACCTCACACGACCGGGTACTCCTCTGAGACAAAACTTCCAGAGGAATGATCAGACAGCAACATTCACGGATCACGAAAATCCACGGTTTTGCAGACACCACTGCTGATACCCAGGCAAATAGGGTCTGGAATGGGCCTCTAGCAAACTCCAACATACCTGAAGCTGAGGGTCCTGTCTGTTAGAAGGAAAACTAACAAACAGAAAGGACATCCACACCAAAAACCCATCTGTACATCACCATCATCAAAGACCAAAAGTAGATAAAACCACAAAGATGGGGAAAAAACAGAGCAGAAAAACTGGAAACTCTAAAAAGCAGAGCACCTCTCCTCCTCCAAAGGAATGCAGTTCCTCACCAGCAATGGAACAAAGCTGGACAGAGAATGACTCTGACGAGTTGAGAGAAGAAGGCTTCAGATGATCAAACTACTCCGAGCTACAGGAGGAAATACAAACCAAAGGCAAAGAAGTTGAAAACTTTGAAAAACTTTAGAAGAATGTATAACTAGAATAACCAATATAGAGAAGTGCTTAAAGGAGCTGATGGAGCTGAAAGCCAAGGCTCGAGAACTATGTGAAGAATGCAGAAGCCTCAGGAGATGATGAGATCAACTGGAAGAAAGCATATCAGTGATGAAAGATGAAATGAATGAAAAGAAGCATGAAGAGAAGTTTAGAGAAAAAAGAATAAAAAGAAATGAACAAAGCCTCCAAGAAATATGGGACTATGTGAAAAGACCAAATCTGTGTCTGATTGGTGTACCTGAAAGTGACGGGAAGAATGGAACCAAGTTGGAAAACACTCTGCAGGATATTATCCAGGAGAACTTCCCCAATCCAGCAAAGCAGGCCAACATTCAGATTCAGGAAATACAGAGAATGCCACAAAGATACTCCTCGAGAACAGCAACTCCAAGACACATAATTGTCAGATTCACCAAAGTTGAAATGAAGGAAAAAATGTTAAGGGCAGCCAGAGAGAAAGGTCAGGTTACCCACAAAGGGAAGCCCATCAGACTAACTGCTGATCTCTCGGCAGAAACTCTACAAGCCAGAAGAGAGTGGGTGCCAATATTCAACATTCTTACAGAAAAGAATTTTCAACCCAGAAATTCATATCCAGCCAAACTAAGCTTCATAAGTGAAGGAAAAATAAAATACTTTACAGACAAGCAAATGCTGAGAGATTTTGTCACCACCAGGCCTGCCCTAAAAGTGCTCCTGAAGGAAGCACTAAACATGGAAAGGCACAGTCGGTACCAGCCACTGCAAAAACATGCCAAATTGTAAAGACCATCAAGACTAGGAAGAAACTGGGTCAATTAACGAGCAAAATAACCAGCTAACATCATAATGACAGGATCAAATTCACACATAACAATATTAACTTTAAATGTAAATGGATTAAATGCTCCAATTAAAAGACACAGACTGGCTAATTGGATAAAGAGTCAAGACCCATCAGTGTGCTGTATTCAGGAAACCCATCTCACGTGCAGAGACACACATAGGCTCAAAATAAAAGGATGGAGGAAGATCTACCAAGCAAATGGAAAACAAAAAAAAGCAGGGGTTGCAATCCTAGACTCTGATAAAACAGACTGTAAACCAACAAAGATCAAAAGAGACAAAGAAGACCATTACATAATGGTAAAGGGATCAATTCAACAAGAAGAGCTATCTATCCTAAATATATATGCACCCAATACAGGAGCACCCAGATTCATAAAGCAAGTCCTTAGAGACCTACAAAGAAACTTAGACTCCCACACAATAATAATGGGAGACTTTAACACTCCACTGTCAACATTAGACAGATCAATTAGACAGAAAGTTCACAAGGATACCAAGGAGTTCAACTCAGCTCTGCACCAAGGGGACCTAATAGACATCTACAGAACTCTCCACCCCAAATCAACAGAATATACCTTTTTTTCAGCACCACACCACACCTATTCCAAAATTGACCACATACTTGGAAGTAAAGCCCTCTCCAGCAAATGTAAAAGAAGAGAAATTATAACAAACTGTCTCTCAGACCACAGTGCAATCAAACTAGAACTCGGCATTAAGAAACTCACTCAAAACTGCTCAACTACATGGAAACTGAACAACCTGCTCCTGAATGACTACTGGGTACATAACAAAATGAAGGCAGAAATAAAGATGTTCTTTGAAACCAATGAGAACAAAGACACAACATACCACAATCCCTGGGACGCATTCAAAGTAGTGTGTAGAGGGAAATTTATAGCACTAAATGCCCACAAGGGAAAGCAGGAAAGATCCAAAATTGACACCCTAACATCACAATTAAAAGAACTAGAAAAGCAAGAGCAAACACATTCAAAAGCTAACAGAAGGCAAGAAATAACTAAAATCAGAGCAGAACTGAAGGAAATAGCAACAAAAAAACGCTTCAAAAAATTAATGAATCCAGGAGCTGGTGTTTTGAAAGGATCAACAAAATTGATACACTGTTCGCAGGACTAATAAAGTAAAAAAGAGAGAAGAATCAAGTAGACACAATAAAAAATGATAAAGGGGATATCACCACTGATCCCTCAGAAATACAAACTACCATCAGAGAATACTACAAACACCTCTATGCAAATAAACTAGAAAATCTAGAAGAAATGGATAAATTCCGCCACACATACACTCTCCCAAGACTAAACCAGGGAGAAGTTGAATCTCTGAATAGACCAATAACAGGATCTGAAATTGTGGCAATAATCAATAGCTTACCAACCAAAAAGAGTCCTGGACCAGATGGATTCACAGCCAAATTCTACCAGAGGTACAAGGAGGAACTGGTACCATTCCTTCTGAAACTATTCCAATCAATAGAAAAAGAAGGAGTCCTCCCTAACTCATTTTATGAGGCCAACATCATCCTGATACCAAAGCCGGGAAGAGACACAACAAAAAAGAGAATTTTAGACCAATATCCTTAACGAATATTGATGCAAAAATCCTCAATAAAATACTGGCAAACCAAATCCAGCAGCATATAAAAAAGCTTATCCACCATGATTAAGTGGGTTTCATCCCTGGGATGCAAGGCTGATTCAATATACACAAATCAATAAATGTAATCCAGCATATAAACAGGACCAAAGACAAAAACCACATGATTATCTCAATAGATGCAGAAAAGGCCTTTGACAAAATTCAACAACGCTTCATGCTAAAAACTCTCAATAAATTAGGTATTGATGGGACGTATCTCAAAATAATGAGGGCTATCTATGACAAACCCACAGCCAATATCATACTGAATGGGCAAAAACTAGAAGCATTCCCTTTGAAAACGGGCACAAGACAGGGATGCCCTCTCTCACCACTCCTATTCAACATAGTGTTAGAAGTTCTGGCCAGGGCAATTAGGCAGGAGAAGGAAATAAAGGGTATTCAATTAGGAAAACAGGAAGTCAAATTGTCCCTCTTTGCAGATGACATGATTGTATATCTAGAAAACCCGATTGTCTCAGCCCAAAATCTCCTTAAGCTGATAAGTAACCTCAGCAAAGTCTCAGGATACAAAATCAATGTACAATAATCACAAGCATTCTTATACACCAAAAACAGACAAACACAGAGCCAAATCATGAGTGAACTCCCATTCGCAATTGCTTCAAAGAGAATAAAATACTTAGGAATCCAATTTACAAGGGACGTCAAGGACCTCTTCAAGGAGAACTACAAACCACTGCTCAATGAAATAAAAGAGGATACAAACAAATGGAAGAACATTCCATGCTCATGGATAGGAAGAATCAATATTATGAAAATGGCCATACTGCCCAAGGTAATTTATAGATTCAATGCCGTCCCCATCAAGCTACCAATGACTTTCTTCACAGAATTGGAAAAAACTACTTTAAAGTTCATATGGAACCAAAAAAGAGCCTGCATCACCAAGTCAATCCTAAGCTGAAAGAACAAAGCTGGAGGCATCACCCTACCTGACTTCAAACTATACTACAAGGCTACAGTAACCAAAACAGCATGGTACTGGTACCAAAACAGAGATACAGACCAATGGAACAGCACAGAGCCCTCAGAAATAATGCTGCGTATCTACAACTATCTGATCTTTGACAAACCTGACAAAAACAAGGAGTGTATTCCCTATTTAATAAATGGTGCTGGGAAAACTGGCTAGCCATATGTAGAAAGCTGAAACTGGATCCCTTCCTTACACCTTATACAAAAATTCATTCAAGATGGATTAAAGACTTAAATGTTAGACCTGAAACCATAAAAACCCTAGAAGTAAAACTAGGCATTACCATTCAGGACATAGGCATGGGCAAGGACTTCATGTCTAAAACACCAGAAGCAATGGCAACAAAAGCCAAAATTGACAAATGGGATCTAATTAAACTAAAGAGCTTCTGCACAGCAAAAGAAACTGCCATCAGAGTGAACAGGCAACCTACAAAATGGGAGAAAATTTTTGCAACCTACTCATCTGACAAAGGGCTAATATCCAGAATCTACAACGAACTTAAACAAATTTACAAGAAAAAAACAAACAACCCCATCAAAAAGTGGGTGAAGGATATGAACAGACACTTCTCAATAGAAGATCTTTATGCAGCCAAAAGACACATGAAAAAATACTCATCATCACTGGCCATCAGAGAAATGCAAATCAAAACCACAATGAGATACCATCTCACACCAGTTAGAATGGCAATCATTAAAAAGTCAGGAAACAACAGGTGCTGGAGAGGATGTGGAGAAATAGAAACTATTTTACACTGTTGGTGGGACTGTAAACTAGTTCAACGATTGTGGAAGTCAGTGTGGCGATTCCTCAAGTATCTGGAACTAGAAATACCATTTGACCCAGCCATCCCATTAGTGGGTATATAACCAAAGGACTATAAATCATGCTGCTATAAAGACACATGCACACGTATGTTTATTGTGGCACTATTCACAATAGCAAAGACTTGGAACCAACCCAAATGTCCAACAACGATAGACTGGATTGAGAAATTGTGGCACATATACACCATGGAATACTATGCAGCCATAAAAAATGATAAGTTCATGTCCTTTGTAGGGATATGGATGAAATTGGAAATCATCATTCTCAGTAAACTATCACAAGGACAAAAAACCAAACACTGCGTGTTCTCATTCATAGATGGGAATTGAACAATGAGAACACATGGACACAGGAATGGGAACATCACACTCTGGGGACTGTTGTCAGGTGGGGGGAGAAGGGAGGGATAGCATTAGGAGATATTCCTAATGCTAAATGACGAGTTAATGGGTGCAGCACACCAGACTGGCATATGTATACATATGTAACTAACCGGCACATTGTGCACATAAACCCTAAAACTTGAAGTATAATAATAATAATAATAATAATAAAAATAAAATAATAAAATGAAAAATTTGTTTGCCTTGTAAATAAACTACCAAAAAAAAAAGGAAAAACAAGAGGCAGATTATTTGTGGAAATAAGTCTTCCCCCTATCAATGAGTAAAGATTTTTGCCCTTTAAAAATTTTTTAAGTCATGATTTTAGGTAAATGAATGACTTACGTTGACATGGAATTCTATTTCATAACATCAAGTGTTTAAACCTTTAATATATTTAATAGGCTTCCCAAAATCAAATTTCAACTTCAAAATTTTTTTTCTGACCTCTAACTTTGGGATACTACAGAGGCCCCTGAAGTACCCAAAAGAGAAGTAAACAGGACTATTTAACATGTTAAGTCACATGGCTAGAACTGTCAAAATAAAAAATAATGTTGAACCTTCTTTAGGTTATATTCAGTGTATGTCATCAATCCATTCTAAAATTGTATAGGATTTCTAAAATTCTTGTATTTTTTTTTTTTTCTGAGATGGAATCTTGCTCTGTCACCCAGGCTGGAGTACAGTGGTGCAATCTCGGCTCACTGCAACCTCCACCTCCCGGGTTCATGCCATTCTCCTGCCTCAGCCTCCTGAGTAGCTGGGACTACAGGCACCCACCACCATGCCAGGCTAATTTTTGTATTTTTAGTAAAGATGGATTTCACCATGTTAGCCAGGATGGTCTCGATCTCCTGACCTTGTGATCCTTCCACCTCGGCCTCCCACAGTGCTGGGATTACAGGCATGAGCCACTACATCCACCCTAATTATGGTTATTAAGTTATTGTAGACCACAGAAATAACCAAATTTCCTTGTCAATTGTCTTTAACTATAACTATTTAAAGTCATTTCCACAGTTAATTGCTTAATGGTGATGCAGTTTCTAAAAACTTCACAAGCATGTAAAATTTTAGAATATGGTGTCTCTTAGAAGATCCATGAAAGAAAGAAAAGGACCCTGAGAAACACTTGTGAACACAGGTTTCTAATAACTTTAATATCATGGGTAAAAATTCCCCATAAGTTCCCCGATCCCCCAAGAATTGGACTGGCTAAGAATTCTCAAAAGTTAGGCTGGGTGCAGCGGCTCACGCTGGCAATCCCAGCACTTTGGGAGGCCAAGGCCGGTGGGTCACTTGAGGTCAGGAGTTTGAGACCAGCCTGGCCAATGGTGAAACCCCACCTCTACTAATAATATAAAAATTAGCTGGGTGTAGTGGTATGTGCCTGTAATCCCAGCTACTCTGGAGGCTGAGGCAAGAGAATTGCTTGAACCCAGGAGGTGGAGGTTGCAGTGAGCCAAGATTGTGCCACTGCACTCCAACCTAGGTAACAGAGTGAGACTCTGTCTCAAAAAAAAAAAAAAAATCCCAAAAGTTTAATAAAAAGACCAACTGGTTTATAAAACTGCTAACCTAAGTAAAACAAAAATTGTATACCAAGGAAATATTTTGCCACATTTGCATGCTAAATCACCAATATTGAAATTGTTTAGATATATAATTTAAATAAACTCCATGGTCTAAGTCAAATCACCTATAACTACTCATCAGTTACCAGTACCATACACCTAATTTGGAGAAACAGCTGGTATTCAAGAGGATGTAAGTCTAATGTTAATTAAGCACAGACTTATGAAGAACCAGGATGGCCACCTTATCCTTCTTAAGTCCTTAAAACTTTTGTTATTAAAAGTTCTGCATTCCATAACTCATCATGGAAAGAGAAAATGATCCAAATTAAATATATTGGTGTGGTGATTTCTAAACTGCTAAAATAGTTTATAACCAATGTTTGGTTTGTCATACCTATATTCCTAGGAAAACAATCAAAACTTCAGGTACATTTGGTTATGTGATGGGCCATTTAAACATTTTATAAAGGGATTTCATTCAGTTGTCATTTTCAGTGCATGTTTTCTGATTGTATAAAAGCTCTTCCATGCGAGACAGTTGATGTTGAAACAGTAGATTATTACCCTGAAGTGTATTTTCACCAGGTAAAGAAAGCCTTTTATGGCTCACTGAGGACAGTCAACCCCTTCAAAATCTAGAATCTGATGACTGGATCTTCTGAGAACATCAGAGAAGGACTGCCCTTGCCATCCACATGACAGCAAAACTTTAAAACCTTAAACTTTGGGTTCATAGTCTCACAACTCAGAAGGGTCCTTCCACACTTGGAACCATATACCCATTGGAACCCTTAAGGTAAAGCTAACAAGGACAGTTCCCCCCAGAAGAAGATGGTATCCCTAATGTGAACAGCTTTTCCCAAGATCACAGATCAAGACTTCTCTACTATCATGAGACACTTATCTTAAGTATCTGTGCAGCTGCTAACACTTACAGCATGTGGAGAAAACATGGGGTATTATAAAGATTCGGTTGTAGGGAATTAACAAAAAACCCACTTAGTTAAGCAAGTAAACTCTTTAATTCATTCTTTAATCTATTTGATTTTAGGTGGTTTGATTTATGGGGACCCTGAGTTAGGAGCATATACCAAATTCTTGGTGTTATCCCAATAGTCATAAGAGTCTCCCTGGTGCACTGTACTTACTCAAATGTTTTAAGAGTTTGCATGCAGGCATCTCTAAAATATCAAATGGTATCTCTTCAACTGGAATGACAAGTGATTAAAAAAAAAGTGCAACCATAAGGACACCATATCCTATGAGTGATATACTAAACCGGAAACCCAAAACAATGAGAGTGACATGCTAAACCAGAAACCCAAAACAATGGGAGTGATGTACTAAACTGGAACCCAAAACAGTGCGAGTGACGTGCACTAAAACCAGAACCCAAAACAATGGGAGTGACCTGCAAAACCAGAAACCCAAAACAATGGGAGTGACTTGCTAAAACTGGAACCCAAAACAATGGGAGTGATGTGCTAAAACCAGAAACGAAAACAATGGGAGTGACCTGCTAAACCAGAAACCCAAAACAATGGGAGTGACATGTAAAACCAGAAACCAAAACAATGGGAGTGATGTGCTTAAACCGGAACCCAAAACAATGGGAATGACCTGCTAAACCAGAAACCCAAAACAATGGGAGTGACCTGTTAAACCAGAAACCCAAAACAATGGGAGCATCCTGCTAAACCAGAAACCGAAAACAATGGGAGTGACCTGCTGAACCAGAAACCCAAAACAATGGGAGTGATGTGTAAAACCAGAAACCCAAAACAAAGGGAGTGACATGCTAAAACCAGAAACCCAAAACAATGGGAGCGTCCTGCTACACCAGAAACCCAAAACGATGGGAGTGACGTGATAAAACCAGACACCCAAAACAATGGGAGTGACGTGCTAAAACCAGAACCCAAAACAATGAGAGTGACGTGCTAAACCACAACCCAAAACAATGGGAGTGACGTGCTAAACCAAAAACCCAAAACAATGGGAGTGATGTGCTTAAACCGGAACCCAAAACAATGGGAATGACCTGCTAAACCAGAAACCCAAAACAATGGGAGTGACCTGCTAAACCAGAAACCCAAAACAATGGGAGCGTCCTGCTAAACCAGAAACCGAAAACAATGGGAGTGACCTGCTGAACCAGAAACCCAAAACAATGGGAGTGACGTGTAAAACCAGAAACCCAAAACAATGGGAGTGACATGCTAAAACCAGAAACCCAAAACAATGGGAGCGTCCTGCTAAACCAGAAACCCAAAACAATGGGAGTGACGTGCTAAAACCAGAAACCCAAAACAATGGGAGCATCCTGCTACACCAGAAAACCAAAACGATGGGAGTGACGTGATAAACCAGAAACCCAAAACAATGGGAGTGACGTGCTAAAACCTGGAAACCCAAAACAATGGGAGTGAGGTGCTAAAACCAGATACACAAAACAATGGGAGTGACGTGCTAAAACCAGAACCCAAAACAATGAGAGTGAAGTGCTAAACCAGAACCCAAAACAATGGGAGTGACGTGCTAAAACAGGAACCCAAAACAATGAGAGTGAGGTGCTAAACCAGAAACCCAAAACAATGGGAATGACGTGCTAAAACCGGAACCCAAAACAATGGGAGTGACGTGCTAAACCAGAAACCCAAAACAATGGGAATGATGTGCTAAAATCGGAACCCAAAACAATGGTAACTAAGAGTGGTGTTAAGGCCCTACATTTTGGTCACACTCTCAACTAAGTGAGAACTTGACTGAAAAAGAGGATTTTTTTTTCTAAGACAGAGTCTTGGTCTGTCCCCCAGAGTGGAGTGCAGTGGCACGATCTCGGCTCACTGCAAGCTCCGCCTCCCGGGTTCAGGCAATTCTCCTGCCTCAGCCTCCTGAGTAGCTGGGACTACAGGCACCCGCTGCCACACTTGGCTAATTTTTTGTATTTTTAGCAGAGACGGGGTTTCACCTTATTAGCAAGGATGGTCTCAATCTCCTGACCTCGTGATCTGCCCACCTCAGCCCCCCAAAGTGCTGGGATTACAGGTGTAAGCCACCTCACCCAGCCAAAAGGAGGAATTTTTTAAGCAAAATTATGGGAGGCCATTGTTTTGAACTAAGCTCATGCAATAGGTCCCAACAGACCAAACCAAATAAAATCGAGTCACTCATGCTAAATGTAACATAATCAAACTAAGACTTTAAGGAAACACATAAATCCTAGAACAAACCAGGTTTTGTTTTTCTCCTGTAAACAGGATGTTCCAGCATAAGAAGATATATTCTACTCAAGTCCTTGTTCCACCTTTTCAAATCTCACTGGTCTATTTCCCAGTGGGTTTCTAAACCAAGTAAGTACATTTGCAATGGTAATAGTGACACCAGTGACTGAAGTTTTGGCCAATCTCTCAAAATTGAGAAAATAACCAAAGGGAAGGCATTGTTAAAGTGAACTAAGTATGGCCTGAGAAGGACTCCATAATTCTATATATGAGTCCTTGTGGATGAACTGCAACCTACCTTAATAGGTATACAAGAATGAAAAACTAACTTGAGAGTATGCACCTGGAACAACAGCTACATCTTGGCCAATCCCAATGGCCAAACTTCAACCACTCAGGCACTGCCAAATGTTCAAAATGTGTTCAAAGAAGGCAAACGCTGAGTTGTTTCTGTACCTCACTTCCGATTTCGGTATGCCATTTCCCTTTTGTCTATAAATCTTCTTCCACCACATGACTGCGCTGGAGTCTCTGTGAATCTGCTGTGATTCTGGGGACTGTCTGATTCGTGAATCGTTTATTGCTCAATTAAACTCCTTTAAAGTTTTTCTTTTAACAGAACTAACACAGAAGAATTTCCAGGTCATGAACAGACGTTTTGTAATACCCAACGTTGTATTAACATGAATAGACTCTTCCTTAGATAGCTAACCTTGTTTTTAATATGAATAGACTCTCCCTTAGCTGAGAAAACCAGACAAACTCTATTTGGCTCCTTCATTTACAAGACATCAAGGGCTCCTTACCCACCCCCTTTCCTCAAGGACTTTAACTTGTGCAAACTGATTTTCAACATATCAAAGAGTGCAATTAACTGATAAAGTGCTGAGACAAGCGATGTCGGCAGTTCCCAGCAAATTACTCAGAGATAGTATCATAAAGCCCCCACATTTGTCCAGCAGATAATGCCCAGAGCCCCCTCACCTATCACTTTGTGGTGAATTTAAAGCCCCTGCACCTGGAACAGTTTGTTTTCCTGTAACCATCAGTCTTTTTAACTTTTTTGTCGTTTTTTTCTTCTGTAAAGTTGCTGCAGCTAGAATCCCCCCTCCCCTCTCTAAACCAAAGTATAAAAGAAAATCTATTCCCTTCTTCGGGGCCGAGAGAATTTTGTGCATTGGCCGTCTCTCAGTCACCGGCTAATAAAGGACTCCTGAATTCGTCTCAAAGTGTGGCGTTTCTCTCTAACTCACTCAGGTATGACAGTTTCAACTATGGTAGAAGACTCGAGTAAGGCAAATACAGTCCCCCTAAATTTGACTATTATTTAGGTTAATGGTGAGTTTAGAAGAAATAAGTTAAGACTACACAGAGTGGGCTAAAGTGCAAATAAACACTGGAAATATTTCCCAGAAAATATGACTTTGAACAGGCTGCTGCACACCCTGCATGTAGAGATAAACTAAGAAAAAGGTGTGGAGAGTTATTTAAGGACCTATGGTTAACTCAGTCCTCAAGATGTTCCAGGTTTCATCCATGAATCAAGGAGGACCTCCCAAAAGCTGTTTGGGACCACACTCTTTGAGCAAGGAGCATACCTTACGATGGAAGCTGTGCTTTAGTGGCAGATGACCATTTCCACTGCACAAAACGCCATGCTTTAGCGGAAGATGACCGTTTCCACTGCACAACACTACAAGTGGTTACTGCCAGGCCGGTGTGAAATATGTTCCAGCACATAATCTATGTCACCAATGAAGGTGGTGGTTCTGACTTGGTGCACAGAAGCTTTCCTGTCCCACAAGAACACAGCATGCTCTCTTCTCGGATTCCATTCCAATCACGTAACAAATATGACTGCCTTTTTTGTCTCGGCATCAGAAAGATCAGAGGAAACTTTGCACCCAACTTAGACAACTCTAAGCTCTTATAACCTGCCTATATCTACAGGTCAGCTTTATCTTATTTATGTATATTTCCTTCAACCTGAGTTTTACTTATTTCTACTTTTCCTTTTTAATTCACAGACACCAATAAACTCAGAAAATACAGTGTAAAACAAAGTGAAGAACAAATAAACAACTCACCAGAGATTTATTCGTTTCCTGTTGCTCTTGGAAACACCCAGAGGACACTGGAAACACAGCTGGGATAGAAGGCAAATGACGTGGGTTAAGGAGAGAACTGGTGTGGTGTGGTCCCAGATTCTTCTGCCCAACACTCTAGACACATTACTTGGGAAAGCCCTCCTCCCTCCTGAAAAATAAAAACTTCCCCATGGGAGAAGAGTCCTTCATGCCCCATTAGGGGCAACAAAGACTCAAGTTAAGATGATACATCTACAAGTACATTAATTGGTAGACATTAGATGCACAATTTATTTTTGAATAAAAACATGTATTACCTACTAATTTAGTAACAATATTATCTAAAGATATAATCTAATAATTTAATACAAAGAAACATAAGTTCACTAAAATAAATGTTATAGAAATATACTAGGCTGTATTAACTATTTTCCTATTAATATGTAGATTCCACAAATAACTTCATATGAGTGTTCCCATGACAGTACATCTTGCTTTTCTATACCTGAACATCATGGAAAGTGCATCTTGCAATCCAGCAATTTTGGCCTACAATTACGTTTTTTAAAATGTACATAATATGTATTTCCTACAGTACACCATTCTACTCATGTTTCCCAATAACACCTTTCCTTCTATCCAAGCCCTCATATTATGCTCTGACAATAAATTGGGCTTTTCCATCTGACTTGTCCAGTGAATGGACAATGGAAAATGTGATGCAAATATACATTGGTTCTTCCCATTTTGGACACAGTCAAATTGTGAAGAGGTCTGGAGCTACCCTGTTGGAGACACAGGGCCTAGCCAAGAGTCACCACAAACCACCAGATTGTGAAGGAAACTATCTTAAACCAACCAGACTCAGTCAAGGCACCAGGTGACTAAGGCCTTTTTGTGATCCAGGCAACACAAATATATCAACTACCCAGCTGAATCCACCACACCAAAATGCAGATCCACAGAACTTCAAACAAATAAAATGGTGGTTTTTTATAAGCCAGTAAGGTTTAATTAGTTCCTTAAACAGCAAGTATTAACTGTTACACCTAAGTGAACAGAATTCACTTGTGTTTTTAACAAAATTACGTAGCGAGAGAAAATCTTAAATTACAAATCAAATACAATCAATAGAACTTCGCAATCTAATGCTAAATTTGGTGATGGACTAGGTTTAATATATCTCAGACGCTGGAAGAAACGAGCTAAGGTTGAAGGAATGGGACTGTGTTTGGAGAGTATTTTAATCTTCTCAAGTATGACAGGTCACTCCTGCACCCCAGACCACACTTTCAGGCCCCTTCAAATAAGGAATATTTCCTAAGTCCTTGCCTGTTCTTCTCAGCTGAATTCACCTCAACCTTCTGAAGGTTCGTCCAAACCTTCTGCTATCACCTAGTCTTTGCAAATCTTGTGCATTCTAGGGAGTAGAATTAATATTTCCTGAGCGAGGAAAACTGGGTTCTTCACCTGTGACCTTTTTTCCTCCTCTGAAGCACCAGTGAGAGGTTAGACCAGATGGCTGTTCTTTCAAGTGCACTTCTTATTCATAGGGAACCCTCCCTTTCAAACTTTGTAACACACAGTTAAGACTGAAGTACCGTTAAGGCTGACTACCATCACCCATTACACCATCTCCCTCGCGGAATCAGTGAGTTCTTCCCTGGAAACTAGGTCTCGTATAAACTTCTGTAAATGCGACCCAGGAGGACTAGGCAGGTCACACAGTGAAGGAGGGAACCAGAAACTTCACTTGCTAAAGAGACACCAGGAAACCCAACTAATACAAACGCCAAGTTTAAGACTAGAGGAGCACGCATTTCGCACTACTCCTCTGGGAATGGGGAACATCTCCCGAGAACTGTGTGTTAGCACCGGGACACATGGGCAAACTGAGCGACATGAGGGTTGGTAACCGGGTCCCTAAGCGGCAGGACAGGAGCTTGGCCTGCAGACTCCGGGCCCAGGGCCACCGGCCTCGCCTACCCGTTCCTGCGCCTCTAGAACCCGCTTCACTGACAGGACCACACGCCTGTCATCCTAGCCCCCGCCAGGGTCCACGGCCCGCACCTGCACTTCAGGCCCTGCCCGCCCGCGATGCGCCCACGCATCTGCTCCCACAACTAGGGAACACTGGTCCGGCCCCCCGGGATCCCCCGAGACCCACGGGTTCCTCTTCGCCCTCGCACCGACCCGCAGGGACATAGAACAAAGCCCCAAGCCGGCCCAGCTACAGGACCCTCTCTGGGTGCCGCACTTCCGGAGGAAAATGGCGGAGTGGGCCGGGCAGCGCAAGCGCAGAGAGAAAAGCTGGTTCCCAAGGTCCTTGATGGTAACATCATTGGAAGGTGACACTACATTTCCCATGAGGCTCTGCGGTCCCCCATTAGGAACCCACGCAGGACATTCTGTTTTGCCCAGCAGTTGAGTTCAGTTACCCAGAGACCCGGACTTAATGGATCAGGACTGGTCCCTACCCAGGTGACACAGATGTGGCATTCTGGTTCTTTATTAAATCCTGGTTTCACAGCCTGGGACATTGTGAAAAAAATGGAGAAATTTCAATAGAGGCCAATTGGTCTATGCTATTAATGAGTAACTTTTTTTTTTTGAGACGGAGTCTCACTGTCGCCCAGGCTGGAGTGCAATGGTGCAATCTCAGCTCACTGCAACCTCCGCTTCCCGGGTTCAAGCGATTCTCCTGCCTCAGCCTCCTGAGTAGCTGGGATTACAGGCGCGCACCACCACACTTGTCTAATTTTTGTATTTTTAGTAGAGACGGGTTTTCACCATGTTGGTCAGGCTGGTCTCCAACTCCTGACCTCGCGATCTGCCCTCCTCGACCTCCCAAAGTGCTGGGATTACAGGCGTGAGCCACTGCTCCCAGCCCTCAAGTATATTTTTATAGATGCATTCGAAAGCATGAAAAAAATCATGTCTCTATTTTACTTTAAAATTTTAAAAACACAACTAATGAACATGGTAATTCTCTTCCAATCCGTTATCTTTTCTCTCACTAAACTAATTTGTGAGCCTTCAATTTACACAGTTAGAAAATATGCTCTAGTGCATATACTAGGATAAAATAACAGGGTCATAAGACAGGTGCACTCCATAATCTTTGTGACAACTTACACTTCCAGTGTCTGATAAATATTTGCCCACAAACTCCCACGTTTCATCCATCCATCAATCAATCAAATCTACCTATCTTTATTTATTTATTGTGAGACAGACCTGAAATTTGCCTTTCCTTCCCTGATTTCTGCTACAAACTAGGCAAAGAGTTCTGCCTAGGGGTTTCTCAGAGCTCCAGCTACCACTGAGGTTCCTAACAGGGAAACGCAGGCTTGAATACTCAGGGTTGATGTGGGAGTGCGTGTGAAACGGGGGTGGGGTGAAAGGGCAGTGACGTTTGTAGGTGGGCAGATGGGGGTGTGAAGGGCTTTCAGGTAGGAGGCATGCAGGAAACTGGGAGAGGGAGCAAAAGTACCTCACTCCTCAGATCACCAGAAGACGCTCCCACCAGTGCCATCACAGCTTGCCAATGACATGGCAGCACGGGAAGTCCCCACCCCTTGCCATGGAAACAGCTGGAAGTTGCTGCCCATTTCTAGCTATTTCTGAATAACCCGCCCCTTAATTAGCATGCCATTAAAAGTGAATTATAAAAATGACTACAAGCCACCCCTAGGCTGCTGCTCTGGGAGCACAACCCACGGAGGGCTCTCTGCCCTGCCGAAGTGGACGCAGGGCTGTAACACCGCCAATGCCTCCGTAGAGCTGCTTTCTTCCACCACAGTCTTGCTTTTGGATTTCTTCCTGAGCGACGCCAAGAACCTGCCCTTCCTCAGTGTGACTCTTGCCTAAAACCTATCCCTGGTATTCTCTTTTCCTGAGCATGCCCTGACTTGTTCTTTCATCTCCTCTGATCTTGCAATTGGTCCTCAGTGACTCTATTCTGCAGATCCAGAAAACTCAACCTTAATCTTCCCAGAGCCCTGTTGTCTCCAATATTGGAATCTCTAGCCTTGTTTTCTCAGACGCCTAGATTACAGGCCTCTCTCTTGAACACCTATTGGTATGGTATCTGGGGATTCTTTAAATACACGGTGATTGGCAGGGGTTACATAGTGGAAATCAGTGCCTGACAATTCGCCTTCCAGGATATGGACTGTCATTCCCTCTCTTGGTTCCCCTCAGTCTCTTATGCATAAAAGTAGAGATTGTAATACTCATTTGAATTGCAGATACCTCAACCCGAACCCACCTAATATAATGTAAAAGCCAAGAATGCAACCCCTTTCCTCACCCCGTGAAGGTAAAGCCCTCAGAGCCAAGGAGAGAAGGCTCAGGGATGGTATCTGGGTGTTTCCAATGCTAACCATGTATTGTAGTTTTTAGTGTGCAAGTTTAAGCTTCCCCAGCTTTAATTCTATTGTAACAAGATTTATTTTTGTAATTCCATTTTTGGATTCTTGATTTATTGGTAAAGAAATACAGTTATTTTTGTATACCAGTCTTATATAGTGTTACATTCTTAAATTTGTTCATGAGTCCTAACACTTTTTAGTAAATTTCTTATGATTTTCTAAATGCAAGATCATGTCATCTGTACATAAAGACAACTGTACTTCTTCCTTTGCAATCTAGATGCCGTTTATTTATTTACGTTGCCAAGTTGTCCCAGCTACCACTGTTATCAAGTAAAAGGGTCTCACTGCCCAAAGCACAAGAAGCCGGTATCATGACACTGAGTTTTCGAGAAAAGAAAAAGTTTAAAGTCAAACCAAAACCTATGGGGTACAGGCCGGGCACAGTGGCTCATGCCTGTAATCCCAGCACTCTGGAAGGCTGAGGCAGGCGGATCACAAGGTCAGGAGATTGAGACCATCTTGGCTAACACGGTGAAACCCCGTCTCTACTAAAAATACAAAAAACAAAAATTAGCCGGGCGTGAAGGTGGGTGCCTGTAGTCCCAGACACTCGGGAGGCTGAGGGGGGAGAATGGCATGAACCCGGGTGGCGGAGCTTGCAATGAGCCGAGATCGCGTCACTGCACTCCAGCCTGGGCAACAGAGCGAGACTCCATCTCAAAAAAAAAAAAAAAAAAAAAACCTATGGGATAAAGTAAAAACAGTACTACAGTACTAAGAGGTAAGTTTGTAGAAAAAAGCACCTACATCAAAAAAAAGTAGAAAAGCTTCAAATAAACACCTTAATAATGCATCTTAAATAATTAGAAAAGCAAGAGCAAACCAAAACCAAAATTAGTAGAAGGAAACATAGCAAAGATCGGAGCAGAAATAAATGAAATTGAAATTTAAAAATATAAAATATCAATGAAATGAAAAGTTAATATTTTTAAAAGACCAACAAAGTCAACAAACATTTAACCAGACTAAGAAAAAAGAGAGAAGACTCAAATACATAAAAACAGAGATTAAAAAGGAGACACTATAACTGATACTGTGGAAATTCAAAGAATCATTAGAAACTATTATGACTGACTATATTCCAATAAATTGAAAAACCTGGAAGAAATGGCTGGGCACCGTGGCTCATGCCTGTAATCCCAACACTTCGGGAAGCCAAGGCAGGTGATCACCTGAGGTCAGGAGTTCAAGACCAGCCTGGCCAACATGGTGAAACCCCATCTCTACTAAAAATACAAAAATTAGCCAGGCATGATGGCATGCACTTGTTCTCCCAGCTACTCCAGAGGCTGAGGCAGGAAAATCACTTGAACCTGGGAGGCAGAGGTTGCAGTGAGCTGAGATTGTACCACGCTGTAGCCTGGGTGACAGAGCAAGACTCCATCTCAAAAAAAAAAAAAAAAACCTAGAAGAAATGGATAAATGAAATTGAAGCCAAAATAAAACATCTCCTAGCAAAGAAAAGCCTGGATTCAATGGCTTCACTGGCTTCACTGATTAATTTTACCAAACATTGAAGGCAGAATTACTATCAATCCTACTCAAACTATTCCAAAAAACAGAGAAGGCTGTAGTATTTCCAAACTCATCCTATGAAAAAGACCATTCATCATGTCTAAGTGGGATTTATCCCGAGGATGCCAACATGGTTCAACATATGCAAATCAATGAATGTGACACATCATATCAACAGAATGAAGGACAAAAACCATATGATAATTTCAATTGATGCTAAAAAGCATTTAATAAAATTCAACATCCCTGTGATAAAAAGAAACCCTCAAAAAAAAACTAGATATAGAAGGAACATACCACAACACAATAAAAACCATATGCAACAGACCCACAGCCAGTATCATCCTGAACAGGGAAAAGCTGAAAGCCTTTCTTCTAAGTTCTGGAACAAGACAAGAATGTCCACTTCCAACACTGTTACTTAACATAGTACTGGAAGTCCTAGCTAGAGCAATTCAGACAAGAGAAAAACAATAAAAGGGATCCAAATTAGAAAGAAGTAAAATTATTACTGTTTTCTTGTTTGCAGATGATTTGATCTTATATTTGGAAAATCCTAAGGACTCCACCAAAAAACTATTAGAACTGATCAACAAATTCAGAGTCACAGGATACAAAATCAAACTACAAAAGTCAGTAGCATTTCTAAATGACAAAAATGAACAATCTAAAGAAGAAAATCAAGAATGTAATCCCATTTACAATAACTACAAATAAAATAAAATATATGGGAATAAACATAACAGAAGAAGTGAAAGATCTCTACAATGAAAACTATAAAACATCAATGCAAAAAAATTAAAGAGGACACCAAAAAAAAAAAAAAAAGGAAAGATAGTCCATGTTCATTGATTGGAAGAGTAAATATTGTTAAAATACCCATACTTCACAAAGCGATCTACAGATTCAATGCAATCCCTATTGAAATACTAATAACACTCTTCACAGAAATAGAAAAAAATTCCTAAAATTTATACGAAACCATAAAAGACCCAGAATACCAAAAGCCATCCTGAGCAAAAAGAACAATACTGGAAGAATCACATCACCTGACTTTAAATTATAGTACAGAGCAATTGTAAACAAAACACCATGGTACTGGCATAAAACAGACACATAGACCAATGGAACAGAATAGAGAACCCAGAAATAAATCCATACATTTACAATTAACTCATTTTCAATGAAGGTGCCAAGAATATACATGGGGGAGAGGATAGTCTCTTCAACAAATTGTGCTGGGAAAACTAGATATTCATTGGCAGAATTTTTTTTTTTTTTTTTTTTTTGAGATGGAGTCTAGCTCTGTTGCTCAGGCTGGAGTGCAGTGGCGCGATCTGGGCTCACTGCAAGCTCCACCTCCCGGGTTCACACCATTCTCCTCCTCAGCCTCCCAAGTAGCTGGGAGTACAGGCGCCCGCCACCATGCCTGGCTAATTTTTTTTTTTTGTATTTTTAGTAGAGACGGAGTTTCACCATGTTAACCAGGATGGTCTCGATCTCCTGCCCCCATGATCTGCCCACCTCGGCCTCCCAAAGTCATTGGCAGAATAATTAAGAATAATTAAACTAGAACCCCCTCTTGCACTATATACAAAAATCAAATCCAAATGGGTTAAAGACTTAAATCAAAGACACGAAACTACTAAAAGTAAACATTAGGGAAACTCTCCAGGAAATTGGTCTTGGCACAGATTTCTTGAGTAATACTCCAAAAGCTCAGGCAACCAAAGCTAAAATGAACAAGTGGTATCACATCAAGTTCAAAAGTTTCTGCATAGTAAAGAAAACAATGGGCAAAGTGAAAAGACAATCCACAGAATGGAAGAAAATATTTGCAAACTATATATCTGACAAGGGATTAAAAACCAGAATATATAAGGAGCCCAAACAACTCTATAAGAAAAAAACTAACAATCCAATTATTTAAATGGGCAAAAGATCTGAGCAGACATTTCTCAAAAGAAGGCACCCAGGTCAGGCGCAGTGGCTCACACCTGTAATTCCAGCACTTTGGGGAGCCAAGACGGGTGGGACACTTGAGCCCAGGAGTTCAAGACCAACCTGAACAACATAGCAAATAATTTTAAAAACTACCTGGGCATGGTGATGCCTGCCTGTGGTCCCAGCTACTCAGGAGGCTGAGGTGGGAGGATTGCTTGAACCCTGGCAGTCAACATTACATTAAGCCGTGATCATACCACTGCACTCCAGCCTGGACGACAGAGTGAGACGCTGTCTCAAAAAATGAGCAAAAACAAAAAAGAAGATATATAAATGTCAAATAGGTATATGAAAAGATGCTCAATATCATTGATCATCAGAGAAATTGAAATCAAAACTACAATAAGATAGCAACTTACCCCATTAAAATGGCTTTTATGCAAAAGACAGGCAATAACAAATGCTTTCAAGAATGTGGGGAAAAGGGAACTCTCTTACTCTGTTGGTGGGAATGTAAATTAGTATATTCACTATGGAGAAAAATATGGAGGTCCCTCAAAAAATTAAAAATAGAACTATCATATGATACAGCAATCCCACTGCTGGGTATATACCCAAGAGAGGGAAAATTGGTATATCAAAGAGATATCTGCATTCCCATATTTATTTCAGCACTATTCATAATAGCCAAGATTTGGAAGCAACCTAAGTGTGCATCAACAGATGAAGGGATAAAGAAAATGTAGTACATATACACAACGGAGTACTCTTCGGCCATGAAAAAGAATAAGATTCTGTCATTTGCAACAACATGGATGGAACTAGAGGACATTATTTTAAGTAAAATGAGCCAGGCACAGAAAGACAGACTTTACATGTTCTCACTCATTTGTGGGAGCTAAAAATTAAAACAATTGAACTCATCAAGATAGAGAGTAGACTGAGAGTTTCCAGAGGCTGGGAAGAGTAGCGGTGTTACGGGATCTTTGGGGTGTTACTTTTCTGGACAGAAACCTCTATGGCTGGTGGCACCTTTGCCCGAGCTTTGCTGGGCCCTGCACACTCAGCCTGGCAGGCTGTGCTCAGCTCATGCTACCACGTTGGATCCCATGCCTGCCAAGGGAGACTGCGTGGAGTGGCAAGGGGTGTGTGAGTGAGCATGGGGTCTGGCCACTGTGCAGTCAGATCTGCTGGCTGCTGCAGTGGGGCAGGTGGCTCCAAGTGCCAACACGGACGCCAGCTCTCCACAAGGCTGTGGCTGGATCACGGGCACCTCAACCAGCTTCCATAGCTGGCACACTGGGAACACAGTGGCACCCAGAATCTTGGAGATATCAGGAACCAAAGGGCCCCAAAGAAGGACCTGGCTCGGGGAGCTCCCAGGTCTGGGCTCCCCAAAGGGCCACAGCTCTTCTTTCCTTCTCTTTGCCCACAATGTGGTGAGCAAGGGGCATGTCTCAGCCCTGTTTGTGTTACAGCTCTTTCAGCCTCTTCCCTAGGATTTGTCATAATTAATTCCCATATCATCTTATTTTTTTACATGTGTTTGAACTTCAGAAGATGTATGGATCTAAACACAACATGATGTGTTAGCTAGCTGCCATATGAGCTTCTCCCTGTTTCACCACTATGTAGCCTAAAGTTATTCCGTCATCCATGACTATCCTGTCTAAAGAGTCTGAAGATCTTTATTTGGTAGCTATGGCTTCAGCTAGTTCATTTGCTAAGTTACCTAGAGTGGTTGACAGATTTCTAATTATACGTTCATGAGAGGTTACTCCCCACCATTGCAAGAGACTTCTGCCAAACATAGGCCAAAATTCATCTCCTTGGTTTGCAGGTACAGTTTGTCTAATCCTGGAAAATAATTTCAATGAACTACTTCAGCGTTCAGAAACATTGGAGTTATAAATAGAAAGAGGAAGAGCCACATAACCTAATAGACAATTACCTCTCATATGCCAGTGGTCAACACATTCATAAGCCCATGTGTGCTTGATCCAGGGACCACACAGGGTCCCTGATGGATTCTGAAATTTAAGGCTTTGGATTACTGGTAACAGAGACATGTTAAAGTACATGTCTTCAGTCTTGAGTAGAGTGTAATCAGTCTGATTTCTTTTTTTTTAATGAGACAAACATCAGGTAAAGACCTTGACAAGAAGGAAGAGAAATCCCGAGATTCTATAATCATAATAATCGAATTGTAATTGCTAGTTTAAGTAGTCCTTCAAAAATACATCTCATTCCTGACAGGATAAAACAAGTTTTATAAAATATATTATATCTGGGTTCACTAGGGAACACTTGGAGCCAGGAAATAATTCAGGATTCAGACCAAATTATAGGCAAATAATAAAAACTCAGAAAAAATGATCAGGGCTGGAATCTAATAGCATATGTCACAGTTTTCTTTTGGAACATAAATTTTCTCTCTCTAGTCCATCATTTTATCAAAGACAAATCATAGTAGGACAAATTTCTGTGCAAAATAAGTTTTAGTCTTATCATACCTGGCCTGATTATTTGCATAAAGTGCAGCAAGAATATTTATTGACCATATAGGCTTCTTAAAATTGGCTTTGTTGGAACTATTTAATAAGGAATCTTAGACTTTTAAAAGCCTTGAGACTAGCCAAGTCAAAGATTTGCATCAGACTGTGTCTGTAATACTTTTTTTAACCTACTTTTTTTTTATTATACTTTAAGTTGTGGGGTACAAGTGCAGAATGCACAGGTTTGTTACATAGGTATACATGTGCTGTGGTGGTTTGCTGCACCCATCAACCCATCACCTATATTAGGTATTTGTCCTAATGCTTTCCCTCCCCCCGCCCCCACCCCCCAACACGCCCCAGTGTGTGATGTTCCCCTCCCTGTGTCCTTGTGTTCTCGTTGTTCAACTCCCACTTATGAGTGAGAACATGTGGTGTTTTGTTTTCTGTTCTTGTGTTAGTTTGCTGAGAATGACGGTTTCCAGCTTCATCCATGTCCCTACAAAGGACATGAACTCATCCTTTTTTATGGCTGCATAGTATTCTATGGTGTATATGTGCCACATTTTCTTTATCCAGTCTATAATTGATGGGCATTTGGGTTGGTTCCAAGTCTTTGTTATTGTGAACAGTCCTGCAATAAAAATACGTGTGCATTTGTCTTTATGGTAGAATGATTTATAATCCTTTGGGTATATACCCAGTAATGGGATTTCTGGGCCAAATGGTATTTCTAGTCCTAGATCCTTGAGGAATAGCCACACTGTCTTCCACAATGGTTGAACTAATTTACACTCCCACCAACAGTGTAAAAGCATTCCTATTTCTCCACACCCTCTCCAGTATCTGTTGTTTCCTGACTTTTTAATGATCACCATTCTAACTGGCATGAGATGGTATCTCATTGTGGTTTTGATTTGCATTTCTCTAATGACTAGTCATGATGAGCTTTTTTTCATATGTTTGTTGGTTGCATAATTGTCCTCTTTTAAGAAGTGTCTGTTCACATCCTTTGCCCACTTTTTGATGGGATTGTTCTTTCTTGTAAATTTGTTTAAGTTCTTTGTAGATTCTGGATATTAGCCCTTTGTCAGATGGATAGATTGCAAAAATTTTCTCCCATTTTGGAGGTTGCTCGTTCACTCTCACAGTTTCTTTTGCTTTCCAGAAGCGCTTTAGTTTAATTAGGTCCCATTTGTCAATTTTGTTTTTTTTGTCATTGTTTTTGGTGTTTTAGTCATGAAGTCTTTGCCCATGCCTACGTCCTGAATGGTATTGCCTAGGTTTTCCTCTAGGGTTTTTATGGCTTTAGGTATTAAGTTTAAGTCTTTAATCCATCTTGAGTTAATTTTTATATAAGGTGTACGGAAGGGATCCAGTTTCAGCTTTCTGCCTAAGGCTAGCCAGTTTTCCCAACACCATTTATTAAATAAGGAATCCTTTAACCAGTGCTTGTTTTTCTCAGGTTTGTCAAAGATCAGATGGTTGTAGATATGTGGTGTTGTTTCTGAGGGTTCTGTTCTGTTCCTTTGATCTATATATCTGTTTTGGTACCAGTACCATGCTGTTTTGGTTACCGTTGCCTTGTAGTATAGTTTGAAGTCAGGTAGCATGATGCTTCCAGCTTTGTTCTTTTTGCTTAGGATTGTCTTGGCTATTCGGGCTCTTTTTTGATTCCATATGAAATTTAAAATATATTTTTCCAATTCCGTGGAGAAAGTCAATGGTAGTTTAATGGGGATAGCAGTGAATCTATAAATTTCTTTGGGTAGTATGGCCATTTTCATGATATTGATTCTTCCTATCGATGAGCATGGAGTGTTTTTCCATTTGTTTGTGTCCTCTCTTTTTCCTTGAGGAGTGGTTTGTAGTTCTCCTTGAAGAGGTCCTTCACATCATTGTAAGTTGTATTCCTAGGTATTTCATTCTTGTTGTAGCAATGGCGAATGGGAGTTCACTCATAGTTTGGCTCTCTGTTTGTCTGTTATTGGTGAATAAGAAAGCTTGTGATTTTTGCACATTGATTTTGTATCCTGAAACTTTGCTGAAGTTGCTTATCAGCTTAAGGAAATTTTGGGCTGAGACGATGGGGTTTTCTAAATATATAATCATGTCATCTGCAAACAGAGACAATTTGACTTCTTCTTTTCCTAATTGAATACGCTTTATTTCTTTCTCTTGCCTGATTACCCTGGCCAGAGCTTCCAACACTATGTGGAATAGGAGTAGTGAGAGAGGGCATCCTTGTCTTGTGCTGATTTTCAAAGGGAGTGCTTCCAGTTTTTGCACATTCAGTATGTTATTGGCTGTGGGTTTGTCATGAATAGCACTTAATATTTTGAGATATGTTCCATCGATACCAGTTTATTCAGAGTTTTTAGCATGAAGGGCTGTTGAATTTTGTCAAAGGCCTTTTCTGCATCTATTGAGATAATCATGTAGTTTTTGTCATTGATTCCGTTTATATGATGGATTACATTTATTGATTTGCATGTTGAACCAGCCTTGCATCCCAGGGATGAAGTCAACTTGGTCATGGTGGACAAGATTTTTGATGTGCTGCTGGATTCAGTTTTCCAGTATTTTATTCAGGATTTCTGCATTGATGTTCATCAGGGCTATTGGCCTAAAATTTTCTTTTTTTGTTGTGTCCCTGCCAGGTTTTTGTATCAAGATGATCCTGGCCTCATAAAATGAATTAGGGAGGATTCTCTCTTTTTCTATTGTTTGGAATGGTTTCAGAAGGAATGGTACCAGCTCCTCTTTGTACCTCTGGTAGAATTTGGCTGTGAATCCGTCTGGTCCTGGATTTTTTTTCGTTGGTAGGGTATTGATTAATGCCTCAATTTCAGAACCTGTTATTGGTCTTTTCAGGAATTTGATTTCTTCCTGGTTTAGTCTTGGTAGAATTCTCTGATGATAATTTGTATTTCTGTGGGACCAGTGGTGATATCCCCTTAATCATTTTTTATTGCATCTATTTGATTCTTCTCTCTTTTCTTCTTTACTAGTCTGGCAAGTAGTCTGTTTTGTTGATCTTTTCAAAAAACCGGCTCCTGGATTCATTGATTTTTTGAAGAGTTTTTCGTGTCTCTATCTCCTTCAATTCTGCTCTGATCTTATTTATGTCTTGCCTTCTGCTAGCTTTTGAATTTACTTGTTCTTGCTTCTCTAGTTCTTTTAATTTTGATGTTAAGGTGTCAATTTTAGATCTTTCCTGCTTTCTCTTGTGGGCATTTAGTGCTATAAATTTCCCTCTACACACTGCTTTAAAAGTGTCCTAGGGATTCTGGTACGTTGTGTCTTGGTTCTCACTGGTTTTGAAGAACATCTTTATTTCTGCCTTCATTTCGTTATTTAGCCAGTAGTCATTCAGGAGCAGGTTGCCCAGTTTCCATGTAGTTGTGAGGTTTTGAGTGAGTTTCTTAATCCTGTATACTAATTTGAATACATTGTGGTCTGAGAGACTGTTTGTTATGATTTCCATTATTTTGCATTTCCTGAGGAGTGTTTTACTTCCAATTATGTGGTCAATTTTAGAATAAGTGCAATGTGGTGCTGAGAAGAAGGTACATTCTGTTGATTTGGGGTGGAGAGTTCTGTAGATATCTTTTAGGTCCACTTGGTCCAGAGCTGAGTTCAAGTCCTGGATATTCTTGTTAATTTTCTGTCTCATCTATCTAATATTGACAGTGGAGTGTTAAAGTCTCCCACTATTATTGTGTGGGAGTCTAAGTCTCTTTGTAGGTCTTTAAGAACTTGCTTTATGAATCTGAGTGCTCCTGTATTGGGTGCATATATGTCTAGGATAGTTAGCTCTTCTTGTTGCATTGATCCCTTTACCATTATGTAATGCCCTTCTTTGTCTCTTTTTATCTTTGTTGGCTTAAGATCTGTTTTATCAGAAACTAGGATTGCAACCCCTGCTTTTTGTTGCTTTCCACTTGCTTGTTAAATGTTCCTTCATCCCTTTATTTTGAGCCTATGTGTATGAGATGGGTCTCCTGAATACAGCACATTGATGGGTCTTGACTCTTTATCCAATTTGCCAGTCTGTGTCTTTCAATTGGGGGCATTTAGCTCATTTACATTTAAGGTTAATATTGTTATGTGTGAATTTGATCCTGTCATTATGATACTAGGTGGTAATTTTGCTCATTAGTTGATGCAGTTTTTTCATAGTGTCAATTGTCTTTATAATTTGGTATGTTTTTGCAGTGGCTGTTACCAGTTGTTCCTTTCCATGTTTAGTGCTTCCTTCAGGAGTTCTTGTAAGGCAGGCCTGGTGGTGACAATATCTCTCAGCATTTGCTTGAAAAGGATTTTATTTCTCCTTCAATTATGAAGCTTAGTTTGGCTGGATATGAAATTCTGGCTTGAAAATTCTTTTCTTTAGGAATGTTGTATATTGGCCCCCACTCTCTTCTGGCTTGTAGGCTTTCTGCCAAGAGATCCACTGTTAGTCTGATGGGCTTCCCTTTGTGGGTAACTCAACCTTTCTCTCTGGCTGCCCTTATTATTTTTTCCCTCATTTCAACCTTGGTGAATCTGATGACTTTGTGTCTTGGGGTTGCTCTTCTTGAGGAGTATCTTAGTGGCGTTCTCTGTATTTCCTGAATTTGAATGTTGGCCTGTCTTCCTGGGTTGGGGAATTTCTCCTGGATAATATCCTTAAGAATGTTTCTCAACTTGGTTCCATTCTCTCTGTCACTTTCAGGTACACCAATCAAACATAGACTCAGTGTTTTAACATAGTCCTCTATTTCTTGGAGGCTTTGTTCATTTCTTTTCACTCTTTTTTCTCTAATCTTGTCTTCTTGCTTAATTTCTTTGAGTTGATCTTCAATCTGTGATATCCTTTCTCCTGCTTGATTGATTCAGCTATTGATACTTGTGTATGCTTCATGAAGTTCTTGTGCTGGGTTTTTCAGCTCCATCAGGTCATTTATATTCTTCTCTAAACTGGTTATTCTAGTTAACAATTCGCCTAACCTTTTTTTTCAGGCTCTTAGCTTCCTTGCATTGGGTTAGAACATGCTCCTTTAGCTCGGAGGAGTTTGTTATTACCCGCCTTCTGAAGCCTACTTCTGTCAATTCGTCAAACTCATTGTCTGTCCAGTTTTGTTCCCTTGCTGGCGGGGAGTTGTGATCTTCTGGAGGAGAAGAGGCATTCTGGCTTTTGGAGTTTTCAGCCTTTTTGCACTGGTTTCTCCCCGTCTTTGTGGATTTATCTACCTTTGGTCTTTGATGTTGGTGGTGTTGATACTATTCCTTTCTGTTTGTTAGTTTTCCTTCTAACAGTCAGGTCCCTCTGCTGCAGGTTTGCTCGAGTTTGCTGGAGGTCCACTCCAGACCTGTTTGCCTGGGTGTCACCAGTGGAGGCTCAGTTGGAAATGCATGAACAACCTGCCTTCTGTGTTGATCTCACTGGGTGCTGCAGGCCGGAGCTGTTCCTATTCAGACATCTTGCCAGCTCTCCTGTAATACTTTTATGAATGGGTGTAGTCCTCTCTTCTCAAGGTCCCCAAATATCTTGAGGTTCCTGGGCCCGTCAGAAAGTGACATTCTTTACTTCTTACCACAAGGACAGCAAATTTGTAAAGGATCCTTGTAGACAGGACATCAAGCCAGTCATTCTAAGGGGCTTTGTATTGGTGCTATAAAGTCAACCTCAATTCCTTAAAGTGGTCTGGTTGTATCTGCCATTCAAGTTAAAGCCTTGATAAAACAAACAGTGTCTCCAATTGAATCTTGTTACCAAAAACAGATTCTTATTGAAATTATGCAAATAATTATATTGCCATAATTTAAGAATGCTCACGAATGGCTTCTGAATTCTGGAGAAATCAGCTAGAGAGACAGATAAATGGCTCAAATTTTTGTTCACAATGTAGTTTATCTAATATATTGTAAGTTAAAAATAGCTGAAAAGAAAAAAAATTCTTGACTTTGGAAAACAAAACATAAAGAGAATCAACAATGTTTCCAATGGAAAGGCCATGAATAAAATCTTTTCCTTCTTTTATAAGTTCAGTCCCATGTAACTACAGCTTGTTCTGCTTGATTTCAAATAGCAATTCTCATTCAGTTTTTTGTGTTCTGCTTGATTTCAATTGGAAATTCTCATTCAGCTTTTTAGAGTCCTGGAAGATTTTCATAGTCCAATGGTATGATCCCCAAAGTTATCTGAAACCATATTTAAGAGAACTTGTCAGAGTCCTTTCCATTAAAAGTAATTTAGATGATAGCTGATTGTAAAGACTTTTTTTTTTTTTTGAGACACGGTCTGGCTCTATCACTCAGGATGGAGTGCAGTGACATGATCTTGGTTCACTGCAATCTCTCCCACCCAAACTCTAGCCATCCTCCTACCTCAGCCTCTGAAGTAGCTGGGACCATAGGCATGCACCATCATGCCTGGCTAATTTTTGTATTCTTGTAGAGAGAGGATTTTACCATGTTGCCCAGGCTGCTTTAAAACTTCTGAGTTTAAGCAATTCACCCACCTCGGCCTTCCAAAGTGCTGGGATTTTTACACGCGCGAGCCACCGTGCCCTGCACGGCCTTCAGCACCGCGCCTGGCCTGTAAAGGGTTTTAGAGAAGAACTTTAAACAATCACCGTGGATGACAAAAACTTAGAAGAGCCTTTGGTTAAAATCCAGTGGAAGTTCTCAACTGGTGAGGAAATTTAGTTATTTCTATTATATGTAGCATTTTAAGATAACAGCCAGAATCATGACTGACGGCAACACATCAGATCCATCAGACTTCCACAAATTTTATACAATCTTTAGAATATTTATATTAATAATATATCTATACATATACAACTTTAGAGAATATTTAACATCATCAAAATTATCACTGATACCATATCAGATTTTTATAATTTATATAACATTTAAAATATTTATATTAATAATATACCTATAAATGTAACCAAAAGAAGATTTAGGCCAGGCACAGTGGCTCATGCCTGTAATCCCAACACTTTGGGAGGCCAAGTTGGACAGATCATCAGAGGTCAGGATTTCGACACCAGCCTGGCCGACATGGAGAAATCTTGTCTCTACTAAAAATACAAAATTAGCCGGGCGTGGTGGCATGTGTCTGTAGTCCCAGCTACTTGGGAGGTTGAGGCAGGAGAATCGCTTGAACCTTGGGGCAGAGGTTGCAGTGAACCTAGATCATGCCACTGCACTCCAGCCTGGGTGACAAAGCAAGATTCTGTCTCAGAGAGAAAAAAAAAAGAAGATTTAGTGTTACTTATCTTTTGGCAATGCTTGCCATACAATGTTATCAACTAAGTTTTAACAAAGATGTAAAAAAATTGAAAAGATTTGACCAAAACAGAATGACAGTTTATTGTTTTTAATTTTATTATTTTTTTGAGACAGGGTCTCACCCTGTTGCCCAGGCTGGAGTGCAGTGGTGAAATCATGGCTCACTGCAGCCTCAACCTCCCAGGATCAGGTGATCCTCCACCTTAGTCTCCCAAGTAGCCAGGACTATGAGCACGTGCTACCACACACAGCTAGCTTTTTTATTTTTAGTAGAGATGGGGTTTTGCCATTTTGCCCAGGCTGGAGTTGAACTCCTGGGCTCAACTGATCCACCCACCTTGGCTTCCCAAAGGGCTGGAATTACAGACATGAGCTGCTGCACACAGCCACATGTCATTTTTAAATAGCAGTCATTCATTTAATTAGCATGACAACCAAAAGACATCAAAAGCAACATAGAAGGTTACATGGATGTGAAAACTGAAAACCCTCAGTTTTCCCAAGTAATTAAAAAAAAATAAAGGCAACACATGGATTATCTTGATAAAACCTAAAATCTTCATTACAGGCCAGTCATTTAAAGGGTAAAACTCCTGTGGCATAACTGTGTCTTCTTATGGGAAGCTAATTTAAATCACTTGGAAGTCAATTCCGATGACAAGGAGACTTTAATTTAATTAGACATAGAAAGAGTGTGTCCAGGGTCATGAGTGAGCATAATATTACAAAGGAATGTAAACAGGAAAACCAGAGCATAGAGCAGTGGGGATCCATAGCTCACAATGATAGCATGGAAGTTTCCTGGTTACATGAAGTAATTAAGACATATTTAAAAGCCAAGAATACAAAATTAGACCTGATGAAAAAGCTGAAGGAGTTATCATCCCAGCCAAGCAGGAAACCCAAGCCTTTTATTCCTTCTCAAGAAGGAACAGGAGACAGTGATGTGATCTGTGAGTCATGTGTAACATGAAAGTACAGGAGAAGTTGAACTTCTGATATACAAATCTGAAAAGTTTTTATAGTAATAGATTTCAGGATTAAAAGTCAATATTTATTACCTCTTCTTATGAGCAAATAAATACATTAAGAAAACCTTGTTGTTTTAACCAAAATTTTTAGTATTTTATCACTCTTTTTAATATTACAGCTAATTTAAATAAACTTTATAAACAATCTATCTGATCTCAATCAGTTTTGACCTCGATGTAAGATTTACATAAACTTTTAATAACCTTGTATAATTTTTTCATCTTTCCCAACTTTTTATACACATTTAGTTTTATCTATCTTTTTTATTCCTTCAATTTAAAATAATCCTTAAAAATCTCTAAGCGAATTTACTTTCTCTGAAAAAAAAACCGGTATACATTTTGCATACAGAATTGTTTCTCTTGTATCTAGTAGTCTTAATCACATATATCTACCAAGATATTAACACTTAGTAACCCTTATTTTAATAGAAAACCTAGGAAGCAAGAAATCTTGAATTGTCATATAGCAGTATCTTACATATGAGAATAATTTCATAATTTAGAATTATGTGTTCCTAAAACATATTTTTTAACATGGATTTTCGCTCTTGTTGCCCAGGCTGGAGTGCAATGGTGCGATCTCATCTCACTGCAACCTCCGCCCCCAAGGTTCAAGCAATTCTCCTGCCTCAGCCTCCCGAGTAGCTGGGATTACAGGAACCCACCACCACACCTGGCTAATTTTTTGTATTTTTTAGTAGAGATGGGGTTTCACCATGTTGATCAGGCTGGTCTTGAGCTCCTGACCTCGGGTGAGCCACCCGCCTTGGCCTCCCAAAGTGTTGGGATTACAGGCGTGAGCCACAGTGCCTGGGCTAAAATGTAAGTCTTAAATTGGAAATAACCCAGATATTTAATGAGTATCTATTATTTAATTTAACATAACTAAAATTTCAAAAATAGGCTGGGCATGGTGGCTCACACCTGTAATCCCAACACTTTGGGAGGCCAAGGCAGGAGTATCATGAAACCAGCCTGAGCAAAATAGTGAGATGCTGACTCTACAAAAAAAATAAAAGTTAGCTGACCATGGTGGTGCATACCTGTAATTAACAGCTACTTGGGAGGCTGAGATGGGAGGATCCCTTGAGTGCAGGAGTTCAAGGTTGCAGTGAGCTGTGATCATGCCACTGCACTTCAGCCTGGGTGACAGACAGAGACACTGTCTCAAAAAAATTTCAAAAATACATTAAGATGTCTTGTATAGACATTTATCCATTTACATTTACTTATTTTTGACAGTTTATCTAGAGTATTTGTGAGAACTGAGGTATTAGACAAAGCTAGTCATCATTTCTAGGTTATTTTATTGTTAACCATGTTATAGCCTGTGAATATCAGGTGTTCACATAAGTGAGGACTTCAAAGTTAAATACATGGGTATTTTACCAATAACACAGAAAATTCCATTATTTTTGTTCAACAAACCATATTAAATTGGCCTTATGTATTTAAAAAATCACATAAACAAATATTCTTTTTTTTCCTGTGTTTACAGCTTTATAACCTTCATGCCAAACCCTAGCACCTTAAAATATCTAGCAAATGTAAATATAAAACACAAAAATGTATGCTGAAAATTCTGAAGACATTTCTATTTTTATTTTATCAATACTTTTTAAATTATTTGTATTTATAAAAGAACTCTTTTGTCTGGGCACAGTGGTTCATGCCTGTATCCCAGCAGTTTGAGAGGCTGCGGCAAGAGGATCACTTGAGCTCAGGAGTTTGAGACCAGCCTGGGCAACATAGTGAGACCCAATCTCTACTAAGAATAAGATAAACAATTACCAGGCATGGTGGTGCATGCCTATTGTCGCCTCTACTAGAGAGGATGAGGCAGGAGGATTGCTTGAGCCTGGGAGTTTGAGATAACAGTGAGCTATGATCCCACTACTGCACTCCAGTCTGGGGAACAGATTGAGACCTTAGAGTGAGACCTTGTCTCAAAAAGAGAAAAAAATAAAGAATTGTTTCATTCTTTTGTTTTTCTTCAGCCAAGTAACCTTGAATTGGTAACACCACAGACAGTAAGTCTTATCTCAACACCAGTAGACAAATCAGCAGATTCAAAGTAGGCAGGGAAATAAAAAGATAGGCAAAAGAACTGAGACTTTTTCATTTTAGGGTTTTTAAAAATAGTAACTATTTGAGTTCTGAATTTTCTTTCATGTAATTTGGCCGTCAGGTTTAAAGTGTGCACTAGAGGCCAGGTGCAGTGGCTCATTCATGTAATCCCAACACTACGGGAGGCTGAGGCAGGTGGATCACTTGAGGCCTGGAGTTTGAGACCAGCCTGGCCAACGTGACAAAACCCCATCTCTACTGAAAATACAAAAATTAACTGGGTGTGGTGGTGTGCACCTGTAGTCTCAGCTATTCAGGAGGCTGAGGAAGGATAATCGCTCAAACCTGGGAGGCGGAGGTTGCAGTGAGCCGCGATTGTACCACCATACTCCATCCTGGGCAACAGAGCAAGACTCTGTGTCAAAAAGAAAAAGAATATATATATATATATATATACAGGCTGGGAACAGTGGCTCATGCCTGTAATCCCAGCAGTTTGGGAGGCCAAGGCAGGTGGATCACTTGAGATCAGGAGTTTGAGACCAGCCTGGCCAACATGGTGAAACCTCATCTCTACTAAAACCACAAAAATTAGCCGGGTATGGTGGTGCACACCTGTAATCACAGCTACTCAGGAGGCTGAGACAGGAGAATTGCTCGAACCTGGGAAGTGGAGGTTGCAGTGAGCCAAGAACACAACACTGTACTCCAGCGTGGGCAACAGAGTGAGACTCTGTCTCAAAAACATGTGTGTATGTGTGTGTGTGTGTGTGTGTGTGTATGTGTGTGTGTGTGGCTAGAATGGTCCATAATATATAGCCAGCTCCAGTCCCAGAAAACCTAGCAAGCTTAAGGTTAGAGCTTCTCATTTTGGCCTTTTCAAGATTAATTCTCCTTTAGTAAGCCCTTCCCCTCTAGGGAGGTACTTGCCGGAGCGCTGCCTGAAGTTGGTGTTCTGATGCCCTGTTGTTTCTGTTCTGAATGGTTTATTTCTCATTATAAGAGCTCAGCAAAGCAGGCAGAGTTAAAAAGCAGAGACATGAAGGCTTTAAAATCATGGACTTCACTCCTACACTGAATCTCAGGTCCCCAGAAGGACAGAAACACCATGGGACCACAGCAAAGGCAGAAGGAGGAATGAGAGAGGGAGGTGGACAGAACAACAAACAGGAGTTGGCTCTCAATTTTTCAAATGTGCCATTTTGTTTAGGTTTTTCTAGTTTATGGAGTCTCTTTGTTCCAGTTGAGCACACAGATAAACTAGAGATCTCACAAGGCTTTTGCTGAGAACATCAAAGCCTTTAACCTCTGTTGGGCCAAATATTTAGACCAAAAATACAGATAGACACACAAAAGCCAGAACCAGACCAGATTAAGTATCTCAGTGGCTACAGCCTTTATTCCCTTTATTCTTTAGGATTCGAACTCAAACCAGATTCAGGATTCTAACCCAACCAGGACACCCCTGGGGTGAAACTGAAACCCCACAGTCTAGACAAGGTTGGGGGTCTTTTTTTATTTTTTATTTTTTTGAGATGGAGTTTCACTCTTGTTGCCCAGGCTGGAGTGCAATGGTGCAATATCACCTCACTGCAACCTCTGTCTCTCAGGTTTAAGAACTTATCCTGCCTCAGTCTCCCAAGCTGGGATTAGAGGCTTGTGCCACCATGCCCAGCTCATTTTGCATTTTTAGTAGAGACGGGGTTTCTCAATGTTGGTCAGGCTGGTCTCGAACTCCCAACCTCAGGTGATCCACACACCTAAGCCTCCCAAAGTGTTGGCATTACAGGCATGAGCCACCGCGCCCGGCCTGCTTGTTCTTTTCATTTCATCCTTATCTCCGAATACAGGAGAGTAGCTGATTTGGTGTTCACTAACAAGCACAGAAGCTTTGTTACATTTACAGTGTCATTCTTGGGAAAACCTGAAGTTTTGCCTCCCGAGTTCACACCATTCTCCTGCCTCAGCCTCCTGAGTAGCTGGGACTATAGGCGCCCGCCACCTCACCCAGCTAATTTTTTGTATTTTTAGTAGAGACGGGGTTTCACCGTGTTAGCCAGGATGGTCTCGATCTCCTGACCTTGTGATCCACCCACCTCGGCCTCCCAGAGTGCTGGGATTACAGGCTTGAGACACCACGCCCAGCCAGAGGCTCTAATTTCAATGATGATTGTGCTTTTTATCTCTTCCTCAGCATCTGGTTCATGATAAAATTTCAGGAATCTTGATGGTATCTAAATCAATTGTTGATTCTGTCCTGGAGAAACACAAGCATAACCTCTATGCCAAGTTATAATTTTACCTATTTCCCAACTTTTTGTTATTGGATCTCTCCACCAAACCAGTTATTCTGCTTCTGTCTTCGCAGCTGCTTTCTGTAGATGCTGTTCAGCTGCTGATAACATCTGGCCTTTGGGCAGGCTTAAAAAATTGAAAGTTAATAATGCTAGATTCAATTGTATATGGGCTATCCCTTAATCCCTGTTTCTCCCCCTTTTTTGTTTTTATTATCAGTTGTTCATCTGTATGAAATTGTAACTGAGCATTTTCAATTAACTGTGTGGAGTGAACCATGTATGAAGAATCAGAAATCACATTAATAGGCATATCAAAAGCAGTCAATACCTCAATTACAGCTACAAGCTCCACTTTTTGAGCTGAAGTATAGGGTGTCTGGAAAACTTTACCTTTTGATCCAGAATAAGAAGCTTTACCATTACTATACCCATCTGTGAAACAATGAAAACACTTCGCAGGCTGCAGGTTGCTTACTGCAGGAATTGTAAATGCAAACCGTTCACAGTATTGCTCAGCTAAAAGGGTAGTAAAGAAACAGTCTTTTAAATCTGTGACTATTAAAGGCCAATTTTTTGGAATTATAGTAGGAGAAGGCAATCCTGGCTGTTATGTTTCCATAGGTTGTATAACTGAATTGATGGCTCTTAAGTCAGTTAACATTCTCCATTTACCTGATTTTTTCTTAATTATGAAAACTGGAGAATTCCAAGGGGAAAATGTTGGAGCTATGTGCCCATTTTCTAATTGTTCAGTAACTATTTTCTCTAAAGCTTCCAGTTTCTCTTTGCTTAGCAGCCATTATTCTATCCAAATTGGCTTATCTGTTAACCATTTTAAAGGTATAGGTTCTGGAGGCTTAACAATGGCCACCATCAAAAATGATATCCTAATCTTTGGCAAGAACTTTGTCTTTCCGTTTGAAGCAGTTCTTTCAAACCTTGCAAATTTTTTTTCTACTCCCATTCCACGGACATGCCCCATTTCGTGCATCATATGCTGACTTTGAGGGCTGTGTAATTGTTATGGAATTAGAACTTGTGCTCCCCATTGTCATAATAAATCTCTCCCCCATAAATTTTTAGGTACAGAAGTTGTAATTGGTTGAATAGTCCCAGGTTGTCCATCGGGCCCTTCACAATGCAAAATATAGCTACTTTGATATACTTCTGGGGCTTTAGCAGTTTCCACTGTGTTAAATTGAGTGGGCTGAATTGGACATGTGGACGGCCAGTGCTGTAGAGAAATGATTGAAATGTCTGCTCCTACCAAAAAAAAAATATTATCTACCAAACCTTTAAAGTTCTTTCCCTGGATAGTTATTTAAAAGGTAGGATGTTTATCAGTAATTTGATTTACCCAATAAGCTGCCTTGCCTTTTTTATTTGTGCTTCCAAATCCTCCAGTTCATTTAATTTCACTTTTTCCCATTCCCACATACGGCACACTCAGGAGCTGTGCTATGCGCACTTCTGGCTGGTGCTTTCCAGGGAACAGAAGTAGATATCACAATTTGAATTTCCTCATTGTAATCTGAATCAATGACTCCAGTGTGTATTTGTACCCCTTCTAAACTTAAACTAGACCTTCTGAAAAGTAATCCCATTGTCCCTGTTGGCAACGGTCCACAGACTCCTGTTGGGACCTTTTGCGGGGGTTCCCCAGGCAGAAGGCTCACAGCTTTTGTGCAGCATAAATCTACTGTGGCACTATGGCCTGTGGTGGGGGACAGATAATGTACGGGGGTGAGGGAATAGCCTGAGCTGGAAATGCCCTGGTTTAGAACAGGGCCTGGGATGGGCCCCTCAGGGAGTTTCCTGAAATCGGATTCCCTTCTTTATCAAACCTAGAGTGACACTGATTAGCCCAAAGTTTTCCTATTTTACATTTTGGACATATTTCAGGATCAGCAGTTTTCTTTTTTCCCCTATCTGGTGGCCTTACTCGCTGATTTTTTTTCTACATTCTTTTTAGTATGACCATGCTTCCCACAGTTAAAACAAGCTCCAGGAAATGGAGTATTTCCTTTATCCACTCTCAGTCCTGCCATCGCCTGTGCCAACAAAGTAGCTTTATGTAGATTACCTCTGATACTATCACAGGCCTTGATATAATCAACTAAATGTGCTTTCCCTCTGATAGGTCGCAGAGCAGCCTAGCAATAGTGATTAGCATTGTCAAAAGCTAATAACTGCAAAAGTATATCCTAAGCAGCCAAATCTGCAATCATCTTTTTAAGAGATTCCTGTAACCAAGCTACAAAATCCACGCATGTTTCTCTTGGTCCCTGTTTTATAGCACTAAAGGAAGGGTATTGTTCTCCACATGAAGTGATTTTTTCCAAGCTCTAATGCACACTCCTCTAAGCTGTTCTATGGCATCATCTTGCATGACCACTTGTGCATGTAAACCAGCCCAGCCACCAACCCCCAAAAGTTGGTCTGCAGTTATATTAATTTGAGGTTGGGCCCAGGCATTGCGAGCAGCCTGAATGGAAGCTTCATCTGCCCACTAAGTTTTAAATTGTAAGAACTGAGCAGGAATTAGACAAGCTCGAGTAATAGTGTCCCAGTCAGTAGGAATCATCTGACTGGAAACAGCAACATTCTTTAACGGTCCCATTTCAAAAGGAGAACCTGGTCCATACTGATTTATAGCGTGTTTAAATTTTTTGAGTAATTTAAAAGGAAAAGGCTCAAATGTAGCTATAATATTTCCCTGTTGATCTGCGGGGTGTATTCAAACAGGGAACTGCCAAGCCTCTAAATCCCACTTTTGTCTAGCTTGCTGAATTCCTGCCTGAATAGAACTAAGAGCAGTCGCTCAAGGCGCTGCTCGAACAGTCACCAGGGTAACTACTTTTCACCCAGTGTCCTCCAGAAAAGAAAGATCTGGAGGGTCGTTTTCTTCAAAATAATAATGAGGGGGTGCAGAAGGGTAGGGATGAACCTCTCCTTCCTTTTCTGCTTTAGATTTAGGTGGCAAATAAACCTGGTCTGTAACCTCTACTGTTACTTTGTTATACTCTCCTTCCTCCTCATCATCAGTGTGAAAAAGTTCCAAGGTAGAACGAACCACAGCCCACACTTGTCCCATTGTTACCCTGAAGCTTCCGAGCTCCCCTTCTTACTCACCACGGGGATTGCTTTAAGAGTACTCAGGTGTCCTCCAGCTAGTTCCACATTCTCCAATCGTTGCTCCAGCGATCCTTTGACCTATATTCGAGCCCCCATGAATTTGCATCACTTGCTGAGACCAGGTCGGTCGGGGAGACCCTAACCCAGCAGCGCTAGAGGAATTAAAGATATACACACTGAAATATAGAGGTGTGAAGTGGGAAATCAGGGGTCTCACAGCCTTCAGAGCTGAGAGCCCTGAACAGAGATTTACCCACGTATTTATTAACAGCAAGCCAGTCATTAGCATTGTTTCTATAGATATTAGATTAACTAAAAGTATTCCTTATGGGAAACGAAGGGATGGGCTGAATTAAAGGAATAGGTTGGGCTAGTTAACTGCAGCAGAAGCATGTTCTTAAGGCACAGATCACTCATCCTATTGTTTGTGGCTTAAGAATGTTTTTAAGTGGTTTTCCACCCTGGACGGGCCAGGTATTCCTTGTCCTCATTCCAGTAAACCCACAACCTTACAGCGTGGGTGTTATGGCCATCATGAACATGTCACAGTGCTGCACAGATTTTGTTTATGGCCAGTTTTGGGGCCAGTTTATGGCCGGATTTGAGGGGTCTTGTTCCCAACAGTTCCTCAGGGTAAGGCTGCCCTAACGCCTGTGGGGACCTTCTTTGGTGGCTCCCCAGGAAGTAAGGAGATGGGAATTGTTCTGTAGAGGTCTACAGCAGCACTGCTTGCTGAGGCGGGGGACAATTGTTGTACATTTGTAAGGGCAGTGGCTGTGCTGGGTATGCCTCGGTTTGTTGAGGGGCTCAAGGTGGGTCCCTCTTCCTATTTCCTGAAAGAGGTTGCCCATCTTTGCTAAATTTAGAATGACACGGACTTGCCTAGTGATTGCCTTTCTTACACCAGGGACATACACTGGGACTTTTCTGTTGATTGATGGTAGTAGTTTTCGTCTTTTTAATTCCTTTCTACATTCCTTTCTTGTGTCCAATTTGCCCACAATTAAGGCAAGAGCCTGAGAAATGAAGCATATTTTTTCTTACTCTTAATCTAGCCATAGCCTGAGCTAAAAGAATAGCCTTATGTAAGTTACCTCCAATGTCATCGCAAGCCTTAATATATTTAGTTAAATGAGCCTTCTCTCTCAGGGGTCTAATAGCAGTTTGACACTCTGCATTAGCATTATTGTATGCAAGAAGCTGTATTACAACATCTTGAGCTGTTTTTATCATTTATGGCTTTATACACAGCCTCTTGGAGCTGAGCAATAAAATTAATATATGGTTGTTTAGGTCCTTGTCAGACAGAACTGAAATAAGGATACTTTTCCCCTGTAACATTTATCCTTTTCTATGCCTGTAAGCACATGAAGCACAGCTGAACAATGGCAACATCTTCCATTACTGCTTGATTCTCTAATCAACCCCGGTTAGGGCCAACTCATATTAACTGATCAAAGAAAACAGGCACAGGTGGCTGCACTTCTGTGTTTTCATTTGCCTGAGTTTGAGCTTCATCAGCCTACCAAGTTTTAAACTGCAAGTACTGAGATGGAGTGAGAACAGGTTTTGTCAAAGTATCCTAATTTTATAGTAGTAATCTATTACCAAGAGCCATATTTTTTAATAAAGTTTGCACAAAAAGAGAGTTCAGTCCATATTGACTAATGGCTTGCTTAAATTCTTTAGTAACTTAAAAGAAAAAACAGCCTAATTAGCTATATTCTGTCCTACTTGCTGGATTATAGTAACGGGAAATTGCCATGCTTCAAGGTCTCCCTTGGCTTTAGCTTTTTGAATAGAATTTTGTCTAGCTCCACCAATTGCTCCAGGTTTTAATGTTGCAACTACAGGAGCAGTAAGTTTTTCAGCTAATTTATTTTCTCACCCATTTAGGGGAGAGAGAAGAGGTGGCCATTCACTTAATTCAGCAGGTGGAGCAAATGGGCTAGTAAAACATACTTTTTAAAGTCTTTCTTTTCTTTAATCTCCTCCGGTAGCTGTTCTTCACACTCAGAATTTGAAGTTAGTTTTTTACACTCATCCTCCTCTTCCTCATCTGACTCTGCCTCATCATCTCTTTGAAATGGCTCAAAGTCTGCCTTTATTAGTGCCCACACTGACCATACAGAAACTGGAATTTTTGCTCCATCTTTATATGCCTTTTAAAAATCTCTTCCAATTCTCTCCCGTTCATCTAACTTCATACTCCTTTGTTCTGGAAACCATGGGCAAAACTGTTTTACTGTACTAAAGAGTGATAACAAATTCTAAGTGCTAACTTTCACTCACCATCTTTGTATGTCCTCGGGTGTCTTTTGATGATGTGTCCTCTGCTTTCACATGCTCTAGCCTTCCTTCATCAGGGTCTTTGTCATCCCATGTTGGGCGCCAAGAATGCTGGGGTGATCAGACCCAACACTAGGTCATGGGGGTGACAAAGTCCGGTGGAGTCAAAGGAATGAGAAAAAGACAGTTTGAGAGAGAAAGTGGGACCAGGGGACCATCACAAGTGTGGAGTCTGCAAAGTCCCCAAGCTCTGGGAGCCCACACTATTTATTGGTGCTCAAACAAAGAAACAGGTGGTGAGGATGTGGGGGTTGAAAGGAAACGGAGTATCAAGTGAATGAGAAACATATGGCCCTGCCTCAGCTTCTCTTCCAACACTCAGCTTTTCTCCTAACACGTCCCCCTTAAGAACAGGAATAAAATAGGGATGCCTGTTCTCACCACTCCTGTTCAACAAGTCCTAGCCAGAGCAATCAGGCAAGAGAAAGAGATAAAATGCATCCAAATAGGAAATGAAGTCAAATTATCTCTCTTAACTGATGATATGATTCTACACCTAGAAAACCCTAAAGACTGTGCCAAAAGGCTCCTAGAACTGATAAAAAAAACTTCAGCGAAGTTTCAGGATAAAAAAAATCAACATATAAAAAGAAGTAGCATTTCTGTACACCAAAAATATTTAAACTGAGAGGTAAGTCAAGAGTGCAATCCTGTTTACAACAGCAACCCCCAAAATAAAATAAAAGAAGAATATGTCTAACCAAGGAGGTAAAGGATATCTAAAAGGAGAACTATAAAACACTGCAGAAAGAAATCATTGATGACAAAACAAATGGAAAACCATTCCATGCTCATGGATTAGAAAGAGCAATATTGTTAGAATGGCTATACTGCCAAAAGCAATCTACACATTCAACATTATTCCTATGAAACAACCAATGTCGTTTTTCACAGAATCAGAAAAAAACTATTCTAAATTTCGTATGGATTTTTAAAGAGCCCAGACAACCAAAGGAAACCTAAGCAAGAAGAACAAAGCTGGAGACATCACATTACTTGACTTCATACTATACCCTAAGGTCACAGTAGACAAAATAGCATGGTGGCGATATGAAAACAGACACAAAGACCAATGCAACAGAATAGAGAACCCCAAAATAAACATGCACCTACAGCCATCAGCTTTCCCAGGATAACACAAATAGAGCCAAGTGGCACCTGCACATTACATTGTGGAAGAAAAACCCAAGCTCAAGAAACCCAAACTTGTATTATGGGAAGTTCACTTGGCTGTACCCTTCCCAAGAGGGAGAAATTATCTGCATTATACTAGACAGTAAATAAAATTTTCCTTTGTTCCAGAAGGAGGTACTGGTTTTCTATTCCAAGGGTGTTTTCTATACAAACATGCTTGAAAATAATCATTTAGAACAAGAAAGTCAGCGTCCACACTTGCAAAATGTGTGGAAATTAAAGAGATCCAAAAACTGTTTCTCTACCAATTTCTATGTTTTAAAAATCACATTTTCCCCATATAATATGCTTTTAATATGTGATCATATTCTGAAATTGTCTTAGCATTTACTCCCATATCTGAGTCCAGAAGGATACAATAAATTTAATTAAATTTAGTAACACTTCAAATAGTAGTGATTGTAATAGCAGAGCTAGTTTGTAGCATAAGGAAAAAAAATTATATTATTAGGTGACACAAATAATGCTAGCCAACATTTCTAAGTGTCATGGTAAGTACAGTGATTATTTTCTTTTTTTCTGAATCTTTTTTATTTTATTTTATTTTTTTTTCCCATAGGTTATTGGGGTATGGTGGTATTTGGTTCCATGAATAAGTTCTTTACTGGTTATTTGTGAGATTTGGGTGCACCCATCACCCGAACCGTGAAATGAGTTCAAATGAATTGTCAAACGTATGTGGGAAAAGTGGAATCAGTTTGTGAGAAAAAGCAAAAAACTCAACAGAAATGCTGATAAAGCATCATCCCTTCATGGCTAGCGCTGCCAGGACACTAGAACACCAAAATCAGCTAGGGAAATTTTGTAGAAGTCCCAGATGTACTAAATGTTCTGTGAATACACAGAGATATAATTATAACTGTTACCTGCATGTAGAGTAAAGATGAGAAGGCATTGGTCTTGGTGGCAGCTACCTCAGGAGTTACAAAGCAGACGTGGTCCCAGGACAGTATATGTCAGGGCAAAGCTGTCCTCAGAGGCTATTAGGAGCTGGTTATGGCACAGACATTGTAAGTCAGATGGTCTCATTACTTTCAATGACAAAACCAAAATTACTTTTGCATCAGCCTAATACAACGGCCTGGCAAGAGCACAGAAAAAGTCCCTGTGCTGTTAGGTGGGGACCTCTGATGCAGCACAATTCCTTCATTCCCTTCTCCAAAACCCCCTCTTCCAATTCCACTGAAGAGAGAATCTGATGGAAGTGCTGTGTAAGCAGGCTCAGATATATCTACCACTATAGACAGTAGAGGTGATTCACAAATCCAAGCCTATCAAATACATCATAAATAAGTTACACGTTTAATTTTTTTTGAAATTAGGATCATGATATAAAAGTTATCAGAATCAAAACTGTCACTAATGTTTAAAAAGAAAAGAAAAAACCTGGACAAATAGATTCAGAGAAGGCCTTGAAGAGAGGGTTCTCATGCTTCTAGGCCTGATACAAACTGTCACAAAATACCACAAAATCCACAACCTTGCACAAAGGCCATAGCAACCTTACACAAAATACACTTCTGTGAGGACATGTATCCAGCAACCGCCTGCCCAAACTTCAACTGACATCGACCTTGTTGTTGATCTTTATAGTCAAAGGTAACTATATCAAAACAATTATAGAAGCCTCTTCATTTTTCCTTTATTTATTTTTTTTCTACTCCCCCATAATTCCAGGTTGATCGCTTTTCTTTTAAAGACCTTGTCTTCCTTTACCATTTGAATCTACACAGTTTGCTTTGTCATGCATATTCCCATTGCAGTGCCCTCCTCCCTAAGATGTGTCTTTTTCGTTTAGAGAGCCTTTCTGTTTGTTATTTAGGTTTACAATGAGAAGACGTGTAAAGTATTTTTACTGTCTTCCTAGGAAAAAATCACTGACTTACAATATTTATATTTATTTATTTACATTCCTGGGGATGAGGAATTAAAGATTTCACAAATTTTCTTATTGAGAAGATCGAAGTTTTCATGTAAGCAAAACTGAATATGTAAATTATGCTGCAGATAATATGCTCAAATGTTTACTTGTATTTAATTTGTTACACATGAATATTGCATATGTAAGATAATATACTAAGAAATTATCACATTTAATGAAATGCTTTAATCAAATTCCTGATTGAATTTTTGATATCAATATATTTTTCCTTGTTTAATCCATCTTTAGAGTGAACAGGGCTGTCTAGGCCAAAGTCCTCACTTCTATCTAAATTGTCTGAGTTACAGAACTTTTTGAATTTATTATGTTGTCACAGGAAGTTTCTTATTGCTTGTTTAAAGGAGTCTCTCTCAATATGATGCAGAATACAAAAGCACTGAAGGGCATATATCCTGAGTTTCTGTTACTGAAGCCAAAGGTTGCCAATTTCTTGTAGATCCTGCTAGAGTTAAACTTCATTTAAGTAATCATTAAAGGCTGCATTTATTCCCTCACTTGAACTTTTGATTTCACACTATTAGGACTAATCCTCTAAGTCTTTGCTAAGTTATGTTCCTCCTTTTCTTGTGGCTTGACTCTGATGCTCTCTATATGCAACATCAATTGACATAAAGTACATTCAGGGCAAGAGAGTTTCTTTAAATATTACTTTGTTATTCAAAATAATCACAAAAGCACTCATCGTAGGAAAACTTGTGAGGACTCAAATATAGGGAAATACTTTTTCTTTCTAAGGCACAATTCTCTAAAGAAGTTCACCTTAATTTGAATATACATGGGAAAATATCCTTGTTCACTAATAGTCTATATTCACTCTGTTTTCTTCCCTCATAGACCAGCCGGTTCACTATTATTCTCCAAATGATGCGTGCCTCCCTAGAGTCCAGGCTATCTGCATATCTAATTTTTCCCACAAATTACTGTTTTGAATTGCACTGAATTCAATTCAAGGGGATGTCATTTATAAACAGTGCAAATATATACTGCACGAGGGATCTTAGAAATCATACACATGGTTTGATCCATAAGCTCATATGAGCGTGCAATGTCAAGTTTTTTCGTGTTTTTTTAAATCCACTTAAATTCTATTTTAAGCCACCATCTCCCTGTGTTGGTAGGGCAGTTAGCCTTCAATCATTTTAAGATGCTCCCCTCTAAGTACTGTGATAGTGATAGAGATATCACCAGTCAGGTGTCCTAGGAAGCCGACTCCGAGTTGGAGATTTGCATGCAAGGAGGTTGAAATGATATTCCCAACACCTGTGGAAGAGTGAAAGCAATAGGATTGGGTGGAGCAGGAAGTCGGCTGGAATGCAATCACTATCATGGCCGCAGTCCACTCTACAGGGATCTTGGTGAGTTTACCTAATGAACTCGAATTGGAGCAAGAAAACCAGGCCATTATATTTCTGTACCAAGCAGTTCTCGGATGTGGGATGCCTTGAGAAGGGACATGAACTTGGATGAAGGAACTTTACTGTGCTGTGAGTATTGTTGCCAGGAGTCAGCTGTCAACACTCCCAGGAGACGGGAAATTATGCTTTAGTCACTGAGGCAGCATCTAGTGTCAGACCACAGCCTTGTTAAACAGAGCCAGAATTTGGAGGATGGTTGGTGGGTTTAACATTTGGGGCTTGACATCTTGTCCCCACAAGCTGCTGATGGCCTCTTCCTTGTCCATTTCTGTGTGGCCTGTTTAGGACCCCCAGCTTCCTGCTTCTTCTTTACCATATTTGGAATGCAAAAATCTACACGTAATTTGGCCCATGGTCCCTTCTGCTTAGACATATCTTTGTAGCTATTTTTTTTAAAAGATGACTATGTCTTCTAGAATATTTCTAAGAAACTGCCTAAGTCACCACTGCTCACCAAGAGGCCTTTGTTTTTTCCTCTTCTTAACCATGGGAAAGGAATGTAGGAGGGTAGGGAGTGGATATTTTCTAACCTGGAAAAAACTCATTTTACCCTATATAATTTTTGTTAGCAAATTCCTTCTTTGCACTTACTCCACAATCTTTCCAAATTCTCCCAAATGCTCAAGCTTTTAAAAAATAAAAGACAGAAAGATAGCAGGTTATTAGGTTTTCCACCAAACCTTTTCTTTCTATTCCTTTACATCAGTGGGCTTAGAATAACTCTGCTCCTGGAACTGGGAAAGGCACTTGGGAAAAGAAAGGAAAACAAAAAGCTCTCAAAGTTTAACATCACAAAACATTATAGTCACTGCTATTTTATTATTTATTTATTTATTTTTGAGATGGAGTCTTGTTCTGCCACCAGGCTGGAGTGCAGTGGTGCGATCTCAGCTCACTGCAACCTCCACGTCCTGGGTTCAAGCGATTCTCCTGCCTCAGCCTACTGAGTAGCTGGGACTACAGTCGTGTGCCACCACACCCAGCTAATTTTTGTATTTTTAGTAGAGATGGGGTTTCACCATGTTAGCCAGGATGATCTCGATCTCCTGACCTTGTGATCCACCCGCCTTGGCCTCCCAAAGTGCTGGGATTACAGGCATGAGCCACCGTGAGTGACCTTGCTTTGTAATTTTTACATCATATATCCCCTGTGTTAGACCAAGAGCTTGTAAAAGCCAGAAAACATACACCATTTATAGTTCAATTAGAGATGTTCACTGATAAAACTGATTCTTCCATCTGAGGGTGGTATTTATAGTTACAGTAATGTAGATGACAATCTAAGTTATGTTCTATAAACTGTGTCACTGACACCTCAATCTACAGCTAACTTTAATTTTTTAAAAGCAGAGGAGTGGGTTGTATAGGTTTAGAAATGCATCCATCAAGCTAGTTAAGTGAGATGGATTCAAACCTTCAACTCACTGGAATATTTACCAAATTGACTATTCATTAGCTAAAGGAGCCATATAAACAAGGTACTTTTTAAAATTCAAAATTATGTAAGGTTTTATTTCCTTTTTATGCAGTTATGAATTCTATTGTAGAGGTTATAAGGTAAAATAAGATTACTTTTACAGTAAAACATGCAACATATTGTCACAAGAGGGAAGCCTTTGAACATGAATTGCTTCTCAGGAATTCCTTGAAATTTTGAGACAGTTACTTTAATTAACACAACTAAATAATAAAACACTACAGAGGATCTAAGAAGATACTTTGACTTATGCATATTGTTACTTTTTTATTACTGGTAGTGGAAGATGTAATCCACAAGGAAGGCAAGGGCTGAATTTGTTTTATGTAAAAAGACAAATTTCTTTGGGTTTTAGCTTTCAAACATCAAGATAGTAGGTCAATGTCTAAATGAGTCTATCAAAGTTCTCACACTAGCACATGTAAATCCACCTCTTATCTACCCAAAACTCTAAGCAAGCAAAGGCAAGTTGGAAGAATCAGACAAATGTAAGTGCCTAGGATACATAAATGCCACTGGATTTTGTTTTTAACTTTCAACCTCCCAAGTTTCACTAAGAGACATGTTATTTGGAGAGGTTGCTAAAGTGTAGTTGTATGATGTCTCTGTGTACGGTTGGTCTGGACTTCTTTCTGTCCAGTGGTTGCCCTTGACTGGTTAGAGTCACCTCTCTAAAGATCATGCTTACGTCCCTGGAGCAGTCCACAGCACTATCAATGTCTGACCTCCACCTTTTTCCAATTAATATTTCTGTACTTACTGAATTGGAAAACATACAGGTGTTTTTTGCCTGGTCACTTGTGGTTTTACAACACTCCCCGCACTTCCGCACCACTGTCCCAGGTGATTTTGTTGCCAGCCAAAGTGTGAGAACTACTGGCAGCTGCTGGCAGACAGCAGCAAAGGCCCAAATCCTCTGTGTGATTTCAAGACCCCTATCTGGTTTTCAGCCATATTTCCTTCTCCTTCTCACAGCTGAGCCCACTCCTCCTCCCTCACCACCTGTAGGCTATGCTTTCCAGCCTGTGTCCAGGATTAGTCCTGATGTAAGGCACGTGGGGTTTAAGGATCTCTCTTTTCAGTCTTATTTCCGCACCATCGCTGACAGATATATTCCAGTTGTAATCATGGGGCTACCTCCTTTTGTTTCCAGTCCCATGCTCATTTTCTCTATCACATTCTACCTTGTAATAACCTAAATCTTCTGGTGGGCAAGTTTCTTCCTCAATCAAATTTGTGTTTATGATTGTGTTGGGGATTGGCTTAGTAATCCAGGTGCTGCTGCTGCCTTGAAAGCAGAGACTGCATCCTTCTGTCTGGATATCTTGAGTTTCTGGATTGTAAACCTTATTCGGGCCCATCTTTCCTAGAATTGGAGCCTCTACTTTGTTCTTGCTACTTTAGTTCACCCAGAAAGCACGATCTCTGCCTGAATTTCAAAGTGTTGGCTAGCTTAAATATCCTTTTGTGAGACTTTTGTCTTCCTACGGGGTGATTTTTTCAACTTAGATACCATTGCTAATCTTTTTATCTTGAATGTAATTGAAATAGTTTTAATCTGTGTTACCAGCAACAAGAACCCCTTTTATGAGATGAAGAGGCCAGGTCAGTCTCATAACATGTGTCCCCCTCCGCGTGTTGAATTTATTTCAGAGCCAGGTTCTTTCCTATTTGACGTCTCTCACCAAATTCCAGTGTTTATGTCCTAGGAGGTGCCCAATAAATTCTAGAGTTGATACAAGCTGTAATTTTAGAGAAATTATATTAGCAAGTAGAATTAGATTATATACAACCTAATCAACTTTTTTTTTTTTCTGAGGATGACCAAGATTTGGGCTTCAGTGACAATAGTTGTCCCCTAAATATTTATACTCAAAATCTAGGATCACCAGTACAATGTTGAATAGAGGTGATGAACACACACATCCCTTTCTTGTCCTAATCTATGTGGTTTAAACATTTACGATTTCACCATTAAATATAGTATTGTTTATATGTTTTGTTGTGGATGCTTTCCATCACTTCGAGAAAATTTCTTTTTCTAGCTTGCTGAGAGTTTTTATTTTTAAATCAGCAATAGATATTTCTCCAAAGAAAATATCCAAATGACCAACAGATACATGAAAAAAATGCTCAGCATCACTAATCAGGGATATGCAAATCAAAACCACAAAGAGATATTGCCTCAAGCCCATTAGAATAGTCTTATTAAAAGAAAAAGATAACGAGTGTTAACAATGGGGAGAAATTGGAACACTTCTACAGTGTTTCTGGGAAAATAAAACTGTGCAGCCTCTATGGAAAACAGTACGATGGTTCCTCAAAAAAATTAAGAAAGTAGAACCACCATATGATCTAGTAGTCTCACTTCAGGTTATTTATCTGAAAGAATTGAGATTGGGATGATTCTCAGGCTCATTGCAGCATTATTTACACTAATCAAAATGTGGAAATAAGGTTAATGTCTATTGGCAGATGAATAGATAAAGAAAATGTGGTATATTCATACAACGGAATATTATTCAGCTTTAAAACAAGAAAGCCTGTCAATATGCAACATGGATGAACCTAGAGGACATTAATGCTAAGTAAAGTAAATCAGTCACAGAAGGACAAACTGTATGATTCCACTTGTATAAAGTATCTAAGATAGCCAAATTCATTAGAGTCACAGATTAAAATGGTGATAGCTCTTTAAGTTGAAGTCAATTTTGCATTCCTAGGTTTTGTAATTTTGGTATCAGGATTCTGACTCATAAAACAAGTTTGGAATTTCCCCCTTCTTTATTTCTGAAATAATTTAAAAATTTTATTTTTTTTAAACATTTGAAAGAATTCACCAGTGAAATTCTTTGGATCTGGGGTTTGCTTATTTTTTATTTCTTTAATTTTGTGTTTTTATGTGCAGGTATTTTACAATTAATTTAATTACTTTAATAAATGTCAATTACTTCATATGTTCCATTTAAACTTGTGAATTTTTTTATAAGTTTTTTTCAAGAAATTCACCCTTTCATCCAAGTAATGAAAATTTGTATAAAATGTTTCACAATATTCCATTATCTTGTTAATGTCTCTTGTGTCTACAACTGTACAATCTCATTAATCCCTGATATTTATAATTTGCGTTTTCTTTCTTTCTCACAGAACTTTTGGCCATGTTGATTTTCTCCTGTTTCTGTTTTCTGTCTCATTGATTTCTAATTTCTGTTTTATTTCCTTTCTTCTACTTGTTTTGGACTTAATTTGCTCTCTTGTTTTAGATTTTCTTTTTAAGGTAGAAAATTAGTTCACTTGTTTTGAACTTCTCTTTTCTAGAATAAGCATTTATACAAAAAACTTAATCTGGGTCTGCTTAACTTTATCCCATACATTTTGATATAGTATATTTTTATTTGTATTCAGTTCAATGTATTTAAAGGTGTTTCTTATGATTTCTTCATTGAGCTAAAGGGCATTTTAAGGTGTATTTAAAACTTCCAATAGTGTACACTTTCCTGGGTAGCTTGTTTTTAACCATTTCAACTCATTTTCATTATGGTCAGAAAGCATACTTTCTATGATTACAGTGTTTTGAAACTTCTTGAGAGATATTTTGTGGTCTATAGCCTATTGATAAATGTTTCATGTGTAGCATAATAGAACATATATTCTATTGTCTTGATCAATATCGATTAGGTCAAGCTGTTGTCAAAATTATTTTATCTTAATTTTCTTTAGTTATTCTGTCAGTAATACAGCATTATGTCTTCATAATTACTTGACATTTTATCATTGTGAAATAGCTGTCTGTTGTAATATTGCTTGTTTGGAGGTCTACTTTTTCTTATATTAATATAGCCACATAAGATTTCTTGTGCTTGTTGTTTTCTTGGTATACTTGGAAATTATTTTACTCTCAACTTATCTATACCATAATATTTGGCATGCATCTCTTATAGGTACTTTTATTATCCAGTTGGACAATCTGTGTTTTATTTGGAGTATTTATATTTGAAATAATTATTGAAAAGTTTGGATTTAAGCCTACTATTTTTGCTTTTTTTTTTTTTTTTTTTGAGACACAGTCTGGTCCTGTCACCCAGGCTGGAGTGCAGTGGCGGAATCTCGGCTCACTGCAAGCTCCGCCTCCCGGGTTCACACCATATTCCTGCCTCAGCATCCGGAGTAGCTGGTACTACAGGCGCCCGCCGCCACGCCCGGCTAATTTTTGTATTTTTAGTAGAGACGGCGTTTCACCATGTTAGCCAGGATTGTCTCGATCTCCTGACCTCGTTATCCACCCGCCTTGGCCTCCCAAAGTGCTGGGATTACAGGCTGAGCCACTGCGCCCAGCCTATTTTGCTCTTATGTTCTATTTGTTCCATCATTTTTTGCTCCTCTGTTCTTTCTTTCATGCCTTTTTATATTAACTGAACAATATTCAGGGTTCCATTTTAATTCCTTTATTGGCATTTTAGAAGAATATCTTCATATAATGTGGTGGTTCTCTAGGGATTATAATAAACATCCTGGGCTTATCACAGTCCACTTACTGTTAATAGTCAACATTTTCATGTAACATAAAGAAAAGTTGTGGCAAAATTTTTGCGTTTAGTCTCCTGTCAGAGCTATTAATTTAGAATATTTTACTCTACATACATTATCAATAGTACACTTAATTTTTTATTTAAGCCATCAGTTGTTTGTTATAAAACTAAAAGAAAAAAGCCTTAGTTTTTCATGTTTATGCACATGCCATTCCAAGAGCTTCTCCTTGCTTCCTGTAGGTCAGAATTTCCATCTGTTGTTATCTTTCTTTAGCCTAAAAAATTTCCGTTTGCATTTCTTGTATCTAGGTCTGCTAATGACAGTTGTTCGAAGCTTTCTTTTATCTGAATAAATCTTTATTTTCTCAAGAATTACTTTTTCTAGTTATAGAATTTGGAGTTGACAGTTTTTTTTTTAATTTTGAAGATGTAGTTTCATTGTTTTTTAAAGTGTCATTTCTGATGACAGGTCATCTGTCTATTTGTTTCCACGTATGTAAATTATTTTCTCCTTCCCTTTAGCTACTTTCAAGATTTACTCTTTTTTTGCCCAGTGGTTTGAGTATGGTATGTCTTCATTTGGTTCTCTTTATTTTTATTCTGTTCTTTGAGTTTCTTAAACCTGTAAGTTGATATATGCTGACAATTAGGAAAACTTTTGGTCTTTACTTTTTCAAATAGCTTTTTCGGTCTCATTTTCTTCTCTACTCTTTCTAGGACTCCAATTATATTAGTGCTAGACTGACTCTATTTTTATTATTTTTCTTCCTTTGTATTAACTGTATTGGGAAATTGTACTTGATCTGTTTTTAAGTGCACTGATAGTTTTTTCTGCCATCTTTAATTAACTGGTATGTGCATAAAATGACATTTTTATATAAGATATTCTGTCTCTCAGTTCTAAAATTTGTCCTATTATCTCTTTATCATTTTTACTTCTCTGTTGAGATTCTCCATATATTCTCTCTTATGACCATCTATTCCTTAAATCCTTGAATATGCTTATAATAGCTTATTTTAAATTTCTTATCTTCTAATTCCAGCATGTGGGCCATTTCAATGTCTTAATCCATTGTTTATTTTTTTGTTATGTGTCAAATTTTCCTGGTTCTATGTCTAGGCAGGTTAAATTAAATGTTAGATTATGTTTATGATATTTTGTAGAGATAGGGTCTTTTATTTTCCTTTGAAGAGTGACTCTTTTCTAACATTAGTCTTCTTTCTGTAGTCAAACACCAAACCTTCACTCCTGAGCTATATGCAATGGTTGAAATCTCTGCTCTGTTCTAGCAATTTAGCTGCTGTTTTCTGCTGGATTCTATGGAGTCTCTTTTTATGAATGTGAAATGTAGCAGCCATCATATATCTGAATGAAGTTTAAGTGCTGATTTTAGAGTTTTACTCTGTGACATTCTCCTCTGTGACTTTCAGTTTTGTGAGATTTCCTCCCATGTCATTCAAATTTCCCAGTTCTTCTTTTCTGTCAGCTTGGGACTCTGTGCTCTTATTCCTCAAGCTAGTAAAACTCACCGCTTTACTCGTAGACACCTAATTTTGCACAGACTGGGAAGTGTCATCAGGTGTGAAGTTGCATTGATGCAAATTTAAATCATTGCAATTTTCTTTATTCAATGGTCGAATACTTCATCAGTGGTTGAATATTCTACTATTTCTGCCTGTTTTCTGTTTCTCATTACCATCAAATGTGTATTTAATTTTTTTAGAGCTAATAGTTTTTTCCCTGCATTTGAGTTAGACCTGAGCTACTACCACATTTTGTAATTCAAACTTTTTGTCTAACAATGTTTTAAAAAACTCTTTATTTGGAGGGAATTCTCAAATTTCTAAATACTCTACAAACATAAGTATTGGGGCTCACATTCCCAGTTTCCCTTGTAGCCAGATGTACATATGGAACATGGCCTCAGCTAATTAAGCATACCCACATATTTGAAAGTAAGAAAAGTGTTAAGAGGAACAGTAGATATCATTTTAGTTGATGCAAGGATGGAAAAATATAACCAACTTTCACTGGTGAACTTTGTCTTCAATCATTGTTTTCCCGTGGGTAAGTGGCTAATTTTCTGGCCTAGAGGTGGAATTGGGGTGTTGGTAACAATTGATTTGATGATAACCTGCTTTTGTCTTTTCAAAAATTGCTAATCCACCATTGTTTCTGGTCCTCTTTTATACTTATGCAGTGTATAATCTCTCATGCAAAATTTAGTTCTTTGTTTCTCAGCTTAAACTGGATTTTGATGAGCAGTTTTCACCTTCAAATGAAAGAAATGGCTTTGGTTGATGTTAGACAAAAATAACAAGAGGGAATTAAAGAAATATGTTTGTCATCTTGTAACATTAAATAAATGAAACTGAAAATTCAACAATTCTGCTTCATAAAAAAATAGAAAGTTTCTACTGTTTTTCATTGTTTTCAAAGCTATATCATTAAATGAAATTTCTGCCTCATGGAAGGTTTTTAGAACTATGCAATAATACCATACAGACCGTTAGGAGAGAAATGAATAAAAACTGAAAGAAGTAAGCACTGTGTGGTAACGTAGATGGCACACAGTTGTGTGCGTGGAGCCCTAATACATTTTACCATGGAATTTATACAATAAATGTTAGTTTCCTGTGAACCTGCTAATTAATATGACTTTCGCAGACATTTCCTTAACCTAAACAGTATAGGTTTCCTGTAGATAGACTGCATGTATTCTCACCTTTAACCTTTCCATAATCTTCCCTAATTACAGATGTCAATGGTTCTTAATAGCAAAAGAACAGCAGCAGCTTATAAAGTTATATTATTTGTTTTTTACTAATATGTGAGGTGATTTTGTCTTTCATTTCACCTCTAGAGCTAATTATGTCTTCTAGGTTAACAAAAATTCCAGATCATACCATCATTAGTTTAAACTTTACAATGAACTCATTATTTCCATTTATTACTAGCCTGCATTATAGCAATATTTAGCCAATGAATTCTCAAAATATTTCTTGAAAGGTGAAAGAGTACCTCAAGTAAGTGGTGTAATTAATTTATTTATCAGAATTTTAAATTAAGTGTTCTGTTTAATCTCAAAGGGGTACCAATGAAGTTAGGGCATAAGGACTCCGTAGTTAATAAAATGGTAAGAATTAAAAAGGATTATTACATTTTTTCCTCATACTATGATGGCTATAATTTTTTAAAACAGTAGAAATATTTAATTTTTAAAGGCTACTAGTGTATATTTCGTTCAAAGATATGAGCTCTTCAGTTCAACTTTTTGTTTGAAATTTGAACAGCTTTTTCTTGCTCTTGTTCAATACAGTTATTAAACAGTCTAGGCAGGCCTCCGGAGTTACATATGTGTATGTGGCTATGTGTGTATATATACACAGAAGTACAAATAGCATATAAACAATTTACATAAGAATTTTGCTTTTGATTAAAATTCTTCTAAAAGTGAATATAAATTAATAGCATATGGAGCCTACAGAAATTGTCTAATAGGGAAGTAGGAAAAGATAATTTGTGAAGAAAAAGTTCACTAAAACAGACTTTTTATTTTTACATGTAATAACATTATATTGAAGGGTTTCCAGAAATATAAAATGTTATAGGGCACTTATCCTGAGACACACGAAGGAGACAAGGGATAGAGCCAGGATGGAAGTGAAAATAAAGGACAAATAGAGATAGATACTTAAGTGCAAATGAAACACTGCATGTTCTCACTCATAGGTGGGAATTGAACAATGAGAACACATGCACACAGGAAGGGGAACATCACACACCAGGGCCTGTTGCGGGGTGGGGGGAGGGGGGAGGGATAGCATTTGGAGACATACCTAATGCTAAATGATGAGTTAATGGGTGCAGCACACCAACATGGCATATGTATACATATGTAACTAAACTACACGTTGTGCACATGTGCTCTAAAACTTAAAGTATAAAAAAAATCATCAAACAGGTGGTAATTTTAAAATATGGCTTTTCCAGGCAGCAAATTTTCTGAATGTATCACAAAAGAAGATAAATTGTGTGTATATGTAGATCATGTCAATGAAATAAACAATAAATGTTACTTATTGGAATACTGAAAGTGGTAGATAATAAATAAATTATTTATATTTATGGTAAAAGCAATCAACTTGATTTTTAGGGGGTTCAATGACTTCCTGAAAATATTCTCTCACAGATTTTCTCAGAGTGTCTAGTTGGCAAAAGCACAGCTCCAAATAGCTATTTCTGTCAACGTCTACAGAACATTTACAGTTCGATTTCCAAAAGTTTCCATTTCTACTGACCTTACAAATTTGTAAAATGAATGCCCACCAGGACAAAATATTAAGTGATAAAATTAATTGCATCCTACAAGTGAAAATCTAGGCAAGGAAAATCTTCTTCCTTCTTAATGAATGATTTTTATGTCTCTTCATTCTTGTCCTTCTAGGTAGAGCAACACTCTGGAGACCTTCTTTTGAGGCATTTCACCACCAGAGTAAGTGTGATGTATGACTAATTAGTCCATCCAGAGGGAGTTGGTGAAATTAAATTGGAAGTTATTTCCTAATTGGCGTATCTTGGAGTAAAATTAATCTAATAACAGCTTTCGTAAGAGAGCATAAGCTTAAAAGACAACATTTTTCATTCAACTTTACCAAACAAAGTGCAAATTTAGGTGTCCAGTTGTGAAGTTTGGTTGTGTGAGGATTGTACGGTGAAGGTACCAGTGGACAACAGTTGCTCATCAAGCAAGTTTATACAAAAGCTTTCGGACAAGTCCAACTCTAGATAAAATTCTAAAGTATTTCATGCTTGTTTTCAGAGTTTCTTTTTCTCTCTCCAAGGTAACCCACATATCAAAAGACATATGGGTTTTGGGTAGAACTTCCTAAAATTGCTGGTGAGAAGTGTGCCATGCATAAGCATACTTCACTAGCTTGAATTTTCTGTTAGTCTCACAGGAAACAATTACAATCCTGTATGCTTTTCTATCTCCACACACTCCTGAACATAGAAAGACCAAGTAACATCCCTGGTTAAGATGTGTACAGGTTACAAGACATGTCTAAATATATTCACCAAGAGGTTTATTATTTTCACAGTGGCATTCACTAAATCAGTTGTCAGTGTAGCATTACTCAAGGAATAAGCAGGGTCTTTAATTTATCAAAGTTTGGAGTGCACCCCAAGTTGGACCACTGAAGCACATAACTATAGATAAGGTCACTCAAAAGCACAAATCCAGGTAATAAATATTCACTAGTAGTTTATATGCACTTAGCAATTTGAATGCTGGGAAGTGTAGCCCAGAAAATCAATCGACATGAAGCTATTAAAGAGGCATTCATGGCACCTGCACTTTGAATCTCTTCAGACTCAGGTTAAACAGGAGACACGGTAGCTGATGTATAGTGCAAAAACCCTTCCTCTTTCCTTTTTTATCTATGAACCTGCCCTTTTCAATGTTGTCTAGATGCCTGAAGGTATGAATACCCTTGATCTTAGTAAAAAATCGTACCACCCATCAGCAAAATCTCACTGATCAGTGTCTATGTTACCTCACCGAGTTAGCCTTTTGTGTTGTTGTGGCCCAGGATGACAATGTTGACACAATCCAAACCAGTAGTTGGAAAGTTAATGTTGGATGCATCTTTGACAATTGATGGAATGACCTGAAATCAAATGTGAGGCAGTGGAGACACAAGAATGTTATTCAGGAAGTTAGTGATCTGTAGAGATACTAAATGAAATATCTGGAAGGAATTGTAATCTTGCAACTATGCTTTTATGTGTTTTTTGACATAAACAGTTTCTATTTATGGTGGAGCTAGAGTGTCCATTTCCCATGAAGTTCCCATAGTGTTAACTAATACAGTCGTGTGTCACTTAATGAGAGGGGTGTGTCTGAGAAATGCATTGCTGGACAATTTTATTATTGTATGAACATCACAGAGTTTACTTACACAAACCTAGATGCTATAGCTGATTACATACCTAGGTTAGGTGGTATAACCTATTCCTCCTAGGCTACAAACCTGTGCAGCATGTTACTGTACTGAATACTGTAGGCAATTGTAACACAACAGTTAAGTATATCTATACTTATATATATACAGTAAGTGTATCTATACATGTCTAAACATACAAGAGGTACAGTAAAAATAGTGTTATGATTTTATTGCACCACTGTCATACAAGTGCACTATCCTTGACCAAAATGTTGTTATGTGATGCATGACTGTAACAAAAGAATTAATTAAATATAATATTGAAGTGCCTATTGAGATTTCAATGAAGAAAGGAATATTTGTAAATTCTGATTACCTTAAGTGGGAATTGACTTTCTTCCTGTTTCCATGGCTGTTCTTGTGAAAGAGCATAGCTTTCCAAAGACCTGAAATCTCTGACAAATCTTGCAATTCTCTATAGCCTGCATTATGAAGGTCACTTGGTATCAAATGAGGCAAAATGGTAGATTATAAAGACCTGTACTTTCTTGTCAGTTCCTAAACATAGCAAGCATTGGTCTATCTTGAACATTTCTGCAGTTATAAATGAGCCTTGGGTCATGATTTTCTGCCTTTTTATCGTAGACAAGATTTAATTTAGGAGATGTCCTTTTAATGCGTAATGTGAATAGTAAGTGCCACTTATGAAGACTATTTTCTTCCAGCCATTTTAATTGTCAAATCTGTCCAGTCAAGATGCATTGTTAGAGGCTTCACTGACAACACCGTCTGTGTGTGTGTGTGTGTGTGTGTGTGTATACATGCATATGATTGAGCAGGATTTATTGTAAGTCAAGACAGCCTCAAATTTCTTAGGACAATACAGCTTCCTTGGCCATTCCCTTGGAGCTCTGAGTTGAGGAGCTGGTGATGTGTATTTCTTTTGCATGTTCTCCACATTATCCCTATGCAGGACTTCCATGGGCTTGGTTTTGGAACCAGTGATGAGGAAGATCATTAGAATTGTTGTTCTCAAAAAGCTTCCTCCATTCTTCTGTATAAGCAATGGCAATTTTCCCAGACCAATATTTCTTCTTTTGAAATGGTAAATTTTGAATATTAACTGGTTAGTATAATCCCATAAAATAACAAAGTTTGAGCCCTATGATCTGTGTTTTAGGCTAAAGTTGAGTTTTATGCTAAATCATCATTTACTCCTTGTATGATCTTTTTTTTTTTTTTTTTTTTTTTTGAGACAGAGTCTCACACTGTCACTCAGGCTGGAGTACAGTGGCACAATTTTGGCTTACAGCAAGCTCTGCCTCCCAGGTGCACACCATCCTTCTGTTTCAGCCTCCTGAGTAGCTGGGGCTACAGGTGCCCGCCACCACACCCGGCTAATTGTTTTTTAAGATTAAGGGTGAAATAAAAGCTGCTCCCCTATATTACATTCATAAATCAGAATTATTAAAGCAAGCTATTTATTTATTAGAAACACTCCAAATTTAGCATCTAAGACATGACAGCCTTTCAAGAGACATCAATTTACTTGTTAGGGTCTATAGCTATATTTGTATTCATGTTATTGGTGTCCATAATATTTCATTAGATGTTCTGGGTAAATTGATAAATGAAAATAATGTATGTGATAAGGAGAACAACCTAGGCCTCCTGGAGGGCCCCTTACAACTCAGCTGGTGTTAGCAGAAATGCCTGGGTGTAACAGTGAGAAACAACCTTTCAAAAGTGTTGAGCAATTTTTCAGGCAGAGGAATATGTATACCAATCCAGGCAGCAAGATAAGTGGAGGTCAGTTAAAAGATCAGGATGTGATTTCATTTTTTTTTTTAGGTTTCTACTGAGAGGAAATATAACACTCAGTTATTATTTTCTCCGCATATCTCTGGTTATTTTGTCACAACCTTTTATGTAAGCTACTACCAAACACTGGGTTATCCAAGATCTATGGGTCGTATTCAATATTTGCTTTTTCCTCAACTACTAACACATTTGATTCCCTTTGTAACTTTCTCCCCTATTTCTCCTTTCAACCTGTTTTCTCCAACCACACTGAGTTAATAAGCCTCCTATATACTCTCATAACCTGTTTTATCTAAAGAGATTTCCTTTTTCTACTATTATACCCATCTCATTCCCTAATTTATTTATTCTTATTTCTCTCTCTATTTTTTATTCTTTTAGGCACAGCTCATGTCTCATGACTTTCAAAAAGTTTTTCTTCTGATATTCCCAGCTCGAATTAGGTACATCCCAATCAGTTTCCTTAGACTTACAACTCTGCATATTATTGGCTTGCAATCTGTCTTAGGCTGGGAATTAGCTCCTTGTAGGCAGGGGCTAGAATTTATTTACTCTTATGTCCATAATGCCTGACACAGGAACTATTCTCACATACAAATTGTAGGGCCATAATTCCTGAGAACATATGTACATTGTAGTGACTCATAAAGGCTTGAAATAAATTTTTAAAATGATTAATTGGGAAGTCCATGAACTTGACATCTTGATGTAGAAGAAAAGCAAGGGCAGATGAAGAAGTTATACAGGATACTTGAAATACCAGAAGAATATAATCAGAGAGCAATAAATTAATCCTAGATTTTTAGATGTGAAGAAGTTCTGAGAAATATTTGAAGACATGGCTCTAGGGATGAGTACATAACAGAGACCAGTAGCCAGACTCAGAGCTTTTCAGAGTGACGAAATTGCATTGCAGGGGGAAGGACTGTTGTATACTAAATAGAAATTGTCATTAAATGGAGACTAAGCAAGAGGCTGATGATCTGTGGATGACAGAAACAAAAAGGTGTGGAGATAGAGGTAAATGCCATAATCTACAAAGAAGATATTTTTGTGCCAGAAAGAAATAATAGGTCTAGAACGTAATAAAAGATAAATAGTTAACTACATTGTAATATGGTCTGAGAACTCACTGAAGGCATAGCCATTGATATTAACTTCCACTTGACTTCCAGACAAAATATTTTAAATATCTTAAAAATTCCATTTGATATTGTATGATTCATCAAGACAGAAAGTAAAGCTGTAGTTGCCCTGGGAGGGCGGGGAATGGGGAGTCACTTTTTAATGGGTACAGGATTTCAATTTTACAAGACAAAAAGAATTATGGAGATGGGTGGTGGTGATGCTTGCACAACATTGTGAATACATTTAATGACACTGAATTGTATACTTAACAGTGGTTAAGATGCAAATTGTTGAGTGTGTTTTGCCACAGTTAAAAAACGGAAAACAATAGTATTTGAAGATATAGCCCATTTCATCTGGTAGCTAGCTGTATGTGTCTGCTCAGCTGTGGATAGATATTTATGCTGTTTCTGAACTGGAGGTTACTGGTATTCTCTAAGGTATAGGAAAATTGATCTTATGTGGCTAACTGAGGTGGATATAGTTGTATCAGTCAGACAGTAATGATATAATCATGATAGTTTACATTTAACACAACTTACATGTGTTATACTTTAGAAAGCTCTTCATTCATATTATTACTTCATACTATTTTCCCCTTACCATTTTTGTCTCTCCTTTCTCTGCTGACTTCAGAAAATGTCTCTTCCACACTACTCAATTCATCTCCTTATTTTTTCAAAATTTTAAGTCTCAGAGTCTCCAAAAAAAATTCCAGACAAGTCTCATCAGCTTTCGGTCATTGATTAATCGATAACCTTAGAGGCTTTCCCTTCCCCTTCTCAATTTAACATAGCTTCCAAATACACTTGCCAGTAAAACAAAGTTGTTTATATGGTTTTATATTTCTTCCTGCTGAATTATGAACATTTTTTCATATTGACATTGATTTCCATCTGGCCATGAAATACTCAAGGTGAAGAAAATGAAACAAAATTGTTAATATTTATCAAGAGCCAGGTACTGTTTTCAGTGTCCTAGAAGTATAAACTAGTGTAATGCTCACCAGCTCATATGAGAGGCAAAAATGGATGAAACTATAAAACCAAGACACAGAGAGTTAAGGGAAATTTCCCAAGATCACACAGCCACTGAGGATATGAACTAGACTTTGACTTCAGGCTATTTACCCCAGAACCTGTGCTTTCAAACATCATTTGTACTGCTTCCCTAAATTACACTTGAGTACACTGTGACATCAAATTTCACCTATGACACCAAATTTCACCTATGACACTGATTATCTGGGGAACTTTGCAACTTATTCTGAATGTGATTCAGTTTTCTTTTCTGTACAGAGATAAAGTCAGTATATACTCCATAGATTCGTTATAAGGATTATATGAAATGACACATGAGAAGGCTTTAAAAGGACTTGGAAAGCAATAAGCTTTTTTGTTTTCAATCATGTTTCAATAGGTTATCAGTGTTGTGAATGGTTCATGAAAAATGACTTTGGGCTCAGTGAGTAACTGAAATGTTGTTGCTTAATAGTGTGTTTAATATTAATATAATAGTAACAAATGTTGTTATTGTTGAGTAATAGCTATTTGGCTTTTCACTGCTTTTCTTTTCTAGTGTTTTAGTCAGAGACTTCTTAAGTCTCCTCAAGTGTGTACACATTTCTTAAATTTGTTGGGAAGTACCAAATTTAAGATATCTTGCATTTTTTTCTTCCTTAGTAAACACTAAATTCCATCACGCAGCAGAAAAAGGGCTCTGTTATTGTCGGTACAATGGTTTAATATTCACTTTTATTCCCTGTATCGTAGTTCTGATTTAATTGCTATTTAGAATAAAACTTGTTCCTTATTATATGCATTCATAATTATAAAATTTGTGTTTTAATGCCTTCTACACATATACTGTGCTTTTCTTTATTTCCTTATATCTTTTACTGTTTCATGATCCTGGTATTTGAAATCTCATTAAGTGTTGTTTGGGGATTTGCTGGGAATGTCATCTACATAATAATGTCTCAAGTTTGTAGCATCTTTAAAACATAATAGGAGATGGAATTCACAGCAGAGTAATAACCCTCCCACTTTAGGCAATGTATTTGTGATTGGTATGACTTTGTTCCCAGAGAGCAGTTAGCAACACAATATTAAGGCTATGTGTACAAGGAAAACAAATTTTAAAAATCTCCTTTAAAAAAAACAGTTCCCGATCCTAACCAGTATCATGCACAGAATCCGTTTCCACCTCTTCATATGGAAGCAGCTCTGGGTGGACATCTAGAAAGTTGGATAACTATTTATCACATATGATCTGTAAAGGGAGAGATTTACAAGAAAGTGTTAAATTTAATCCATAGGAAAGCAAAATCAAAAATCAATGAATTTTCCATTTGTAGTTTTCCCTAGGGGCTCCACTCTCAAGATGGCTTAAATGTGTAATAATTAAATGACTAGGCACAATTGTTTGTTAGTGACATAAAAGCAAGGTAAGCATTTCTGCTTTATGAGTCCAAGCACAGGGACACTTGGTTTTCTTTGGAAGGATATCATAAAGGCAATATTTATGTGTAATCCCTCATTGTCTTTCCTTCTGTGGCATTCAATGTTATGTACTATAATTTAGAAATGAAAACTACTTAAAGACCACTTGCTAAGTTTCATGTATTTCAAATTCTCAGATCCTGAGTGTTTAAATATGCCTATATTTCTTCATGAAAAAAAAACATAATCTTTGCCAAGTTAGAAAAAGAAAAAGTCATATTCCCATTTTTAACTAAATGTAATCAGAAATGTGGACAGTTTTTAGCTTTCAATACATTATGTAATTTGGGTAACAGGCTGAATAAAAGTAAGGAACTTCAGTTAAATTCACAGAGAAGCTAATAATTATTTCTAAGACTCAAATGTATAGAACAGATCTCTGATATTAAGGGTAAGATCCTCAAAGGTGACCCAAAATGGGTAATTGTGGGATTATTTTGGGAGGAATCATCATAGATTCTTACTGCTATAAATACAGTCAAATGTCAGATAAATATGCTCCACTGAAATGTTTTCTAGGAATGATGTTTGAACCAATGTTGGTAATTTTGAAAGTCATGGAGAGTGTTTCAGATGATAGAAGTCGGGCAACTATCCCAGGTTTAATAAATAAGCAAATGGTGAGTTCCAAAAATGCTGTATCAATGAGCCTCATATTGATCCTGAGCACAATTTCAGGAAGGTCCATTAAATGGGTCTTTGGAGAGCACTTAGGTTAAAAGGCTGGCAGCAGGGATTCACTAAGAGCAATGGTGCCAAGCTTGCCTCTTTGACATTGTTATGTGACTGATAAAGGTAGGTTATAGCAGTACACAATACAGATATTTCCAGGGTAAAGCTGTTGAGCTGCTGTAATTTTCCTTGCCTCTTCACTATCTTCTCCTATAGTTGACTTCCAAGGAAAAGATAGTTGACTTTTAATCTAGAAATGTATGTTAATTGGCAAAAACAAACAAATGAAACCATAAACTATCCTTTAGGCTTCTCTCTGCTCAGTTATTAGATCATATGAATGTGCCCTTAGGAAACACAGAAGGCCCACACTATTATAGGGACAAATTTCTTACATTCTCTGCTGTTTAATGCTCTTCAAAAGACTTACCATACTACAGTAATTTGATTATCAACTACTTGAACACAGGGACCAATGTGCTTATTAAAAATTTTGCATATTATGAGGGCATTAACATTTAAGTATTCGATTGTTAAGACAATGCATATTATTATAAACCATAGAAGGCACACTTATTACCTCCTTAAGAACCAGTCTCTATTTCTCTGTTTCCTAGATCTCCAAGGTCATAGAGGGATTGGATATTTGTGTCTTCAATTGGCCCTCTTCAACCCTAGGATAAATAGTGATTAATCTAAGCCAATGGTTTTCGGCTCTGTCTGACCCAATGCCTCTACTTCATAAGAAATTCTTCAAAGACCCCTTCACTATTCTAAACTATTAGTGAGAACACAATGTATGCATTCAAGTTGTTGAAAATATTAATGTTATGCTGAAGCTAACAAAGGAGAAATAATTTACTGTCAATATATGATCCAAAATGTATATAATTGTGCCAGAACATTTACATCTCAAATACAATAGAACATAATGAAATTTTCATATCTTCGCCCATACCTTGAAACATTTTAAATAAAAAGCTACAAATATAGTTTCATTGAATAACCAAATGCCAAAACTGCCATTTCTATTGTTGACATGATTGATCTGCATTGGTAAATGTAATAGATACTTTCTGTTTGGCCCTTGTCCCCTGTTATACTCCCCTATTTACTGGCTTTTGTCCAAGTGGAATGGACCATATTGAATATCTCAATCGGTTCCCTTGCTCATTGCCTTCTATGCATGTTCATGAGATTAAAGGGAAGGAGGAAATGGGATTGGGGGTTATTGCCTAAACTCCCTCTCTGCTAGGTCTCCTTGACCAATCTTTTTCATAAGAAAATTAGTGTTTCCTTGTGTGATCAGGGCAGTTTACTCCCCAGAACTCTGCCTGCTGCTACTAACCCAGAGTTATTGTGGGGTGTGATTTCTGTGATTCCTTCACCCTTCTCCCCTGAAATTTTCGTAAGTAGTCTCTTTGGAAATAAACCCATGTTAAATTATCTTAGTTTGTGTGTGTTCTATTTTTCCTATTGAGACTCTGAAATGAGTATCTAAATGAAAAAATCTACCGTCTTTTCTCATATACATAGTAGTTTCATTCTTGCAAAATTCATGGCATATTAAAACCATGCAAAAGTACTTGGCACTTAGGCAGTTACATTTGGGATTGTATAATTAAACAAAGCAGGTTATTCACCTTCATTACATTAGAAAGTCATTCAGGACATACAGAAATCCTTAATTAGGAGCGGCTATCCCATGTTACTGGACATATGGCATCCCTGTTTTCCAATCCTTAAAGTTTTTCCTTAACGTTCCAAAATGCCGTCACTTATTATTTCCTGCCATTGGATTTTGTCACATGAAGTTGTAAGGCTGGGAATGCCGTAGCCATCTTGAAAACATAGGTAGAAAGATAAGAGAATCATAAAGAAGTGGATCATGTTGAATTAACTAAGCATTGATACCATCTATTTGTTGTCCGATTTGGTAAAAGTTGCTCCTTGTTTTTTTCTTCAATTAGTTGACTATTCTGTTACTTGAAGCTAAAAAGTTTTTTTCTTTTCTTTCTTTCTTTCTTTTTTTTTTTTCTGACAGAATCTTACTCTGTTGCCCAGGCTGGAGTGCAATGGCATGATCTTGGCTCACTGCAACCTCTGCTTGCATAGTTCAAGCAATTCTCACACCTCAGCCTCCCTAGTAGCTGGGATTACAGGCACATGCCACCACACTCAGATAATTTTTGTATTTTTAGTAGAGATGGGGTTTCACCCTGTTTGCCAGGCTGGTCTCAAACTCCTGACCTCAAGTGATCTGCCCAGTTCAGCCTACCAAAGTGCTGGGATTACAGGTGTAAGCCACTGACCCTGCCCAAAAACATTTTAACCAATAGCAAAGCACATTATTTCATTGCATTTTTTCAAAAGTTGCCAGTAATTTCAATTAAAAATATTATATAACATGTTTAATGCAATACAAATGCTTTTCAATGTACAATGGGGTTAAGTCTTGATAAGCTGATTATAAATTGAAATACATTATTAAATGTATTTAATACCTAACTTACTGAATATCACAGCTTAGCCTGGCATACCTTTAATGTGCTCAGAACACTTACATCAGCAGACAATTGGGCAAAATCGTTGAATACAAAACCCACTTTATAATAAAGTATTGGATATTTTATGTAATTTGTTGAATATTGTACTGAAAGTGAAAAGCAGAATGGTTATATTCTATTCAAAGCTATCACTTTTGCTTCATCATAAAGTAAAAAAAAATCATAAATTGAACCATTATAAGTTGACCATCTGTGTATATGTATGTGTGTGTGTACCTATATAAACATGTATGTTTATATATATATTTGTGTGTGTATATATCCTCGGTGTGTGTGTATGTGTGTTTGAGAGAGAGTGTGTGTGTGTGTGTGTGTGTATGACATTGTAGGAAAGTAAAATTTCTTATCTTACAGATATAGCATGTTAACATGTTGGTACCTATCCTCCTGAGATGTAAAATTTTACATGGATAGATGTGTACATTTACAGTTGTACACAAAGAGAAACATATTCTGTAGGCTCTTTGTTTTTCTGCAGTTTCATTCAACACTATCTGGTTTATATGGATGATTACATATATAATGCTAGGATGAAGGTTCTTCTCTATAACTTTGAAACTTCCTTGATTATCAACCCTTGGTATATTCTTAGAATAGGATTTTATTTTAGAATTAAGATCCTTGTTTCAGGACTCTAGACTGTTAACACACAGAGCCAATAATTATTCAGAATGGTTGGGTTAGTTCACATTCCCACAGATGAGACATCAAATGTCCAGGCTGCACAGCCTCATTAACACTAGATTTTCTGGACATTTTATATAGTATTTCATCTTATATAAAAAGTAGAATTCTAAATTAATTATGGTTGTTAATTTATTTTTATCTTTTTAGTCATTATGAAAATGTTTAACTATATGAAAAGCTAGGAAAGAGTTTTATTTTTTAAGGTAGTACTTCAGAAATATTTGCGATACTTAATTTTTAAAAATTAACTCTAAAAAATGTTGAAATGTCTGTTTAATGAAATAGGACATAAATACTGGTCACATTAGTGAAAAATATTTGTTTAAAATTAAAATATCTGTATCAATCCTGTAGATATTAATAATTTTTAAAGAATGACATCTTCAAAATATAAATGTTCTAAACTTATAATCAGTTAAATATGTCTCAATACATATAGATACATATATCTAAATAAATTTGAAGACTTCAAATTCCAGGTACAATATAATTCTTTTCTATCCTGTGATTTGTCATTCAGTATTTTGTAATTTGCACAGAAATATTTTGCCCTAACCACATGTCTGTATTTTCTCTTACCTAGAAATGTTATTTTATGCAAAATTGTTTTAAAGGTCAGTTTGCATGTTTGAAAGCATCTTGTAGAATGTTACATAATATATTGCATATTTGGTTACATTGTTTTAACTGTGTAAATATGGTTTAAATCTATGATGCTCTTTAGTGCTGATCATGATGCAAAGCAAATTTATCTGTATAAAAGTCTCCTGTTAATTTTTTTTATTATTATATTTTAAGTTTTAGGGTACATGTGCACAACGTGCAGGTTTGTTAGATATGTATACATGGGCCATGTTGGTGTGCTGCACCCATTAACTCGTCACTTAATATTAGGGATATCTCCTAATGCTATCCTTCCCCCCTCCCCCCACCCCACAACTGTTCCCAGTGTGTGATGTTCCCCTTCCTGCATCCATGTTTTCTCATTGTTCAATTCCCACCTATGAGTGAGAACACGTGGTGTTTGGTTTTTTTTCCTTGCACTGGTTTGCTGAGAATGATGGTTTCTAGCTTCATCCATGTCCCTACAAAGGACATGAACTCAACATTTTTTATGGCTGCATGGTATTCCATGGTGTATATGTGCCACGTTTTCTTAATCCAGTCTATCATTGTTGGACATTTGTGTTGGCTCCAAGTCTTTGCTATTGTGAATAGTGCCACAATAAACATACATGTGCTTGTGTCTTTATAGCAGCATGATTTATAATCGTTTGGGTATATACCCAGCAATGGGATGGCTGGGTCAAATGGTATTTCTAGTTCTAGATCCCTGAGGAATCCCCACACCGAGATCCACAATGGTTGAACTAGTTTACAGTCCCACCAACAGTGTAAAAGTGTTCCTATTTCTCCACATCCTCTCCAGCACCTGTTGTTTCCTGACTTTTTAATGATCGCCATTCTAACTGGTGTGAGATGGTTTCTCATTGTGGTTTTGATATGCATTTCTCTGATGGCCAGTGATGATGAGCATTTTTTCATGTGTCTTTTGACTGCAAAATGTCTTCTTTTGAGAAGTGTCTGTTCATTTCCTTTGCCCACATTTTGATGGGGTTGTTTGTTTTTTTCTTGTGAATTTCTTTGAGTTCATTGTAGATTCTGGATATTAGCCCTTTGTCAGATGAGGAGGTCGCAAAACTTTTCTCCCATTCTGTAGGATGCCTGTTCACTCTGATAGTGGTTTCTTTTGCTGTGCAGAACCTCCTTAGTTTAATTAGATCCCATTTGTCAATTTTGTCTTTTGTTGCCATTGCTTTTGGTGTTTTAGACATGAAGTCCCTGCCCATGCCTATGTCCTGAATGGTATTGCCTGGTTTTTCTTCTAGGGTTTTTATGGTTTTAGGTCTAACATGTAAGTCTTTAATCCATCGTGAATTAATTTCTGTATAAGGTGTAAGGAAGGGATCCAGTTTCAGCTTTCTACATATGGCTAGCCAGTTTTCCCAGCACCATTTATTAAATAGGGTATCCTTTCCTAGTTCTTGTTTTTGTCAGGTTTGTCAAAGATCAGATAGTTGTAGATATGTGGCATTATTTCTGAGGGCTCTGTCCTGTTCCATTGGTCTATATCTCTGTTTTGGTACTAGTACTATGCTGTTTTGGTTACTATAGCCTTGTAGTATAGTTTGAAGTCAGGTAGCATGATGCCTCCAGCTTTGTTCTTTTGGCTTAGGATTGACTTGGCAATGTGGGCTCTTTTTTGGTTCCATATGAACTTTAAAGTAGTTTTTTCCAATTCTGTGAAGAAAGTCATTGGTAGCTTGATGGAGATGGAATTGAATCTATAAATTACCTTGGGCAGTATGGCCATTTTCACGATATTGATTCTTCCTACCCATGAGCATGGCATGTTCTTCCGTTTGGTTGTATCCTTTTTTATTTCATTTAGCAGTAGTTTGTAGTTCTCCTTGAAGAGGTCCTTCACTTCCCTTGTAAGTGGTATTCCTAGGTATTTTATTTTCTTTGAAGCAATTGTGAATGGGAGTTCACTCATGATTTGGCTCTCTGTTTGTCTGTTATTGGTGTATAAGAATGCTTGTGATTTTTGAACATTGATTTTGTATCCTGAGACTTTGCTGCAGTTGCTTATTAGCTTAAGGAGATTTTGGGCTGAGACAATGAGGTTTTCCACATACGCAGTCATGTCATCTGTAAACAGGGACAATTTGACTTCCTCTTTTCCTAATTGAATGCCCTTTATTTCCTTCTCCTTCCTGATTGCCCTGGCCAGAACTTCCAACACTATATTGAATAGGAGTGGTGAGAGAGGGCATCCCTGTCTTGTGCCAGTTTTCAAAGGGAATGCTTCCAGTTTTTGTCCATTCAGTATGATATTGGCTGTGGGATTGTCATAGATAGCTCTTATTATTTTGAGATACGTCCTATCAATCCCTAGTTTGTTGAGAGTTTTTAGCGTGAAGGTTTGCTGAATTTTGTCAAAGGCCTTTTGTGCATCTATTGAGATAATCATGTGGTTTTTGTCTTTGGTCCTGTTTATATGCTGGATTACGTTTACTGATTTTCATATGTTGAACCAGCCTTGCATCCCAGGGATGAAACCCGCTTGATCATGGTGGATAAGCTTTTTTATGTGTTGCTGGATTCGGTTTGCCAGTATTTTATTGAGGATTTTTGCATCAATGTTCATCAAGGATATTGGTCTAAAATTCTCTTTTTTTTGTTTTGTCTCTGCCAGGCTTTGGTATCAGGATGATGCTGGCCTCATAAAATGAGTTAGGGAGGATTCCCTCTTTTTCTATTGATTGGAATAGTTTCAGAAGGAATGGTACCACTTCCTCCTTGTACCACTGGTAGAATTCGGCTGTGAATCCATCTGGTCCTGAACTTTTTTTGGTTGGTAAGCTATTAATTATTACCTCAATTTCAGAGCGTGTTATTTGTCTATTCAGAGGTTCAACTTCTTTCTGGTTTAGTCTTGAGAGAGTATATGTGTCAAGGAATTTATCCATTTCTTCTAGATTTTCTAGTTTATTTGTGTAGAGGTGTTTATAGTATTCTCTGATTGTAGTTTGTATTTCTGTGGGATCGGTGGTGATATCCCCTTTGTCAATTTTTATTGCATCTATTTGATTCTTCTCTCTTTTCTTCTTTATTGGTCTTGCTAGTGGTCTGTCAATTTTGTTGATCTTTTCAAAAAAACAGCTTCTGGATTCATTGATTTTTTTGAAGGGTTTTTTGTGTCTCTATTTCCTTCAGTTCTGCTCTGATCTTAGTTACTTCTTGCCTTCTGCTAGCTTTTGAATGTGTTTGCTCTTGCTTCTCTAGTTCTTTTAATTGTGATGTTAAGATGTCAATTTTATTTCTTTCCTGCTTTCTCTTGTGGGCATTTAGTGCTGTAAATTTCCCTCTTCACACTGCTTTGAATGTGTCCCAGAGATTCCGGTATGTTGTGTCTTTGTTCTTGTTGGTTTCAAAGAACATCTTTATTTCTGCCTTCATTTCCTTATGTACCCAGTAGTCATTCAGGAGCAGGTTGTTCAGTTTCCATGTAGTTGAGTGGTTTCGAGTGAGTTTCTTAATCCAGAGTTGTAGTTTGATTGCACTGTGGTCTGAGAGACAGTTTGTTATACTTTCTGTTCTTTTACATTTGCTGAGGAGTGCTTTACTTCCAAGTATGTGGTCAATTTTGGAATAGGTGTGGTGTGGTGCTGAAAAGAATACATATTCCGTTGATTTGGGATAGAGAGTTCTGTAGATGTCTATTAGGTCTGCTTTGTGCAGAGCTGAGTTCAATTCCTGGATATCCTTGTTGACTTTCTGTCTCGTTGATCTGTCTAATGTTGACAGTGGGGTGTTAAAATCTCCCATTATTATTTTGTGGGCGTCTAAGTCACTTTGTAGATCACTAAGGACTTGCTTTATGAATCTGGATGCTTCTGTATTGTGTGCATATATATTTAGGATAGTTAGTTCTTGTTGAATTGATCCCTTTACCATTATGTAATGGCCTGCTTTGTCTCTTTTGATCTTTGGTGGTTTAAAGTCTGTTTTATCAGAGACTAGGATTGCAACCCCTACCTTTTTTTTGTTTTCCATTTGCTTGGTAGATCTTCCTCCATCCCTTTATTTTGAGCCTATGTGTGTCTCTGCAGGTGAGAATGGTTTCCTGAATACAGCACACTGATGGGTCTTGACTCTTTATCCAATTTGCCAGTCTGTGCCTTTTAATTGGAGCATTTAACCCATTTACATTTAAGGTTAGTATTGTTATGTGTGAATTTGATCCCGTCATTATGATGTTAGCTGGTTATTTTGCTTGTTAGTTGATGCAGTTTCTTCCTAGCCTTGATGGTCTTTACAATTTGGCATGTTTTTGCAGTGGCTGGTACCAGTTGTTCCTTTCCATGTTTAGTGCTTCCTTCAGGAGCTCTTTTAGGGCAGGCCTGGTGGTGACAAAATTTCTCAGCATTTGCTTGTCTGTGGAGTATATTATTTCTCCTTCACTTATGAAGCTTAGTTTGGCTGGATATGAAATTCTGGGTTGAAAATTCTTTTCTTTAAGAATGTTGAATATTGGCCCCTACTCTCTTCTGGCTTGTAGAGTTTCTGAGGAGAGATCAGCAGTTAGTCTGATGGGCTTCCTTTTGTGGGTAACCTGACCTTTTTCTCTGGCTGCCTTTAAAATTTTTTCATTCATTTCAACTTTGGTGAATTTGACAATTATGTGTCTTGGAGTTGCTTTTCTCGAGGAGTATCTTTGTGGCATTCTCTGTATTTCCTGAATTTGTATGTTGGCCTGCCTTACTAGATTGGGGAAGTTCTCCTGGATAATATCCTGCAGAGTGTTTTCCAACTTGGTTCCATTCTCCCCATCACTTTCAGGTACACCAATTAGACATACATTTGGTCTTTTCACATAGTCCCATATTTTCTTGGAGGCTTTGTTCATTTCTTCTATTCCTTTTTCTCTAAACTTCTCTTCATGCTTTATTTCATTCATTTCGTTTTCCATCGCTGATACTCTTTCTTCCAGTTGATCAAATCGGTTACTGAGGCTTATGCATTTGTCATGTAGTTCTTGTGCCATGGTTTTCAGCTCCATCAGGTCCTTTAAGGACTTCTCTGCATTTGTTATTCTAGTTATCCATTCGTCTAATTTTTTTTTCAAATTTTTAACTTCTTTGCCATTTGTTTGAACTTCCTCCTTTAGCTCGGAGTACTTTGATCTTCTGAAGCCTTCCTCTCTCAACTCGTCAAAGTCATACTCCGTCCAGCTTTGTTCCATTGCTGGTGAGGAGCTGCATTCCTTTGCAGGAGGAGAGGCACTCTGATTTTTAGAGTTTCCAGTTTTTCTGCTCTGTTTTTTTCCATCTTTGTGGTTTTATCTTCCTTTGGTCCTTGATGATGGTGACATACAGATGGGGTTTTGGTGTGGATGTCCTTTCTGTTTGTTAGTTTTCCTTCTAACAGTCAGGACCCTCAGCTGCAGTTCTGTTGGAGTTTACTGGAGGTCTACTCCAGACACTATTTGCCTGGGTATTAGCAGCGGTGGCTGCAGAACAGTGGATATTGGTGAACTGCAAATGCTGCTGCCTGATCGTTCCTCTGGAAGTTTTGACTCAGAGGGGTACCCGGCCATGTGAGATGTCAGTCTGCCCCTACAGGGGGGTGCCTCCCAGTTAGGCTACTCAGGGGTCAGGAACTCACTTGAGGAGGCTGTCTGCCTGTTCTCAGATCTCAAGCTACAAGCTGGGAGAACCACTACTCTCTTCAAAGCTGTCAGACAGGGACATTTAAGTCTGCAGAGGTTATTGCAGTCTTTTGTTTGTCTGTGCCCTACCCCCAGAGGTGGAGCCTACAGAGGCAGGCTGGCCTCCTTGAGCTGTGTTAGGCTCCACCCAGTTCGAACTTCCTGGCTGCTTTGTTTACTTACTCAAGCCTGAGCAATGGCGGGCGCCCCTCCCCCAGCCCCACTGTAACCTTGCAGTTTGATCTCAGACTGCTGTGCTAGCAAACAGTGAGGCTCCGTGGGTGTAGGATCCTCCAAGCCATGTGCTGGATACAATCTCCTGGTGTGCCATTTGATAAGCCTGTTGGAAAAGCGCAGTATTAGGGTGGGAGTGACCTGATTTTCCAGGTGCCATCTGTCACCCCTTTCTTTGACTAGGAAAGGGAATTCCCTGACCCATTGTGCTTCCCAGGTGAGGTGATGCCTTGCCCTGCTTTGGCTCATGCATGGTGTGCTGCACCCACTGTCCAGCACTCCCCATTGAGATGAACCTGGTACCTCAGTTGGAAATGCAGATATCACCTGTCTTCTGCATCACTGACGCTGGGAGGTGTAGACTGGAGCTGTTCCTATTCGGCCATGTTGCCTCCATCCACTAATTTTTAACTTTCAAATGATTAGATACATTTACCCTCTTCTGAATTTTAATTCCTGATGAAAAGATTCTGAAATCTCAAGAGGATAATGAATCAGCTTCTGATTACATTCTGGAATTACGATTTGATCACCCATCCAAGAATGCATATTCACTTTCCTTTACATTACACACATGCATAATACCATGCTGAGTGATGCTGGAAAAAGTGAGTCTTCAGTAATGCCCTCATGAAATTACAGTCTCACTACACTGAGGTATTTTCTTTTTAACCCTTTTTTTCTTTTCTGCTGTGAATATGTGCCTTCTAAGAGGTGAACAACTGGGAAAAACTGAAAAAGAACCTTCATCTAATTCAGTAACTAGCTTTTGTATCTTCTAAGAATTTTTATCTCCAGAAAGCTCTAATCTTCATTCCTTTAAAGCTTTATTTCTCTCTCCTTTCCAACACCAGATTTTTCTCTGTTTGTTTTCTATACCCTTTTTAGAGATGCCTACAATAGAAAAAAAACTATGACATATTCAATACATCTGAAAAGTTTGCATTGCCATAGATAAGAATGAATTGTCTGTTTATAAAGAAAAAAAATAAAAATATGAACCAAGAAAGCACAGAAGGTAGTAACCACATTTAGATGTTTATCATGGAATCATCTTTATAATCCATCTGTTACAATTCCACAGAGCAAATTAGAAGTAATTGTGAAGTTTCCCCTCATTTTATAGGTTTGGTCTTATAAGGCATACAACACAAATTTTAATTACTTTTCTTTTTGGTATTTGGATCTTAATTTGGTCAAGTGGCCACTGGGTAGATGATGGAGCCTCTTGAGACATACAGTCTTCTAGCTTTGTTGATGTAAATATTACTGTGTAGTTTTCATTCACTTATTATTTTACAAGGCATGCTTCATTAAAAATATGTCAGCATCTCATTGACAAATCACAAAATTTAAAAGGCACAAGAAAAAAACAATTTATTTGAAACATTCCTGTGTAAAAGTAGTCACCACTCTTACTATTCCTCAAATATTTTTATTATATTTAAACACAAGCCTAGTTTTATCTCGAGTGTCTGACCTTGATGATATTGTACACTTTAAACTTAGAAAAAATTGAACTCTATTGGAAATTTCCTACAGATCAGCTTTTCTAGATGCCAAGCGCCTTGTTTCAGCTGCGGTGATGACAGCAAATTGGGTTCTCAGGGTTTCTGGCCTCTGGCATCATCTCAGTTGTTTATAATTGAAGTTGGCTCTGATGAGAACTCAGCTTAGATGCATGGTTGTACTGCTGGGCTTAAGGCTGGCCTGCCAGGAGGTTGCATTGAGGTGTAACTAGGCAAAGAAAGAAGGAGTTTATTGAGGCACTACTGACGATAGCAAAGACTTGGAACCAACCCAAATTTCCAACAATGATAGACTGGATTAAGAAAATGTGGCACATATACACCATGGAATACTATGCAGCCATAAAAATGATGAGTTCATGTCCTTTGTAGGGACAAGGATGAAGCTGGAAACCATCATTCTCAGCAAACTATCACAAGGACAAAAAAACAAACACCACATGTTCTCACTCATAGGTGGGAATTAAACAATGAGTACACATGGACACAGGAAGGGGAACATCACACACTGGGGCCTGTTGTGGGGTGACGGGCTAGGGAAGGAAAAGCATTAGGGGATATACCTAATGTAAATGACGAGTTAATGGGTGCAGCACACCAACATGTCACATGTATACATAGGTAATGAACCTGCACTTTGTGCACATGTACCCTAGAACTTAAAGTATAATAAAAAAAAAGAAGGAGGTTGGGCAAAATTACCAACAATCTTCAACTATGAATTTTTATGAGTAGGGGCTTCCCACACCATCAGGCACTCCAAGTTGGAGAAACAAGGGATGTTATATTGAAAGTTTAATTTTTTAGGCTTGATAGTCAGATTAGGGAAGTTTTGGGTATACCTTTCCCACTCTAGAGCCCTCTCCCTAACTCATGGCCAATTTGGGACATGGGCTCAATGGAAAAGAGTGCCGAGATCAATTAGAAATATCCTTCATGAACATAGGAGGCAGGCATTCTGGCCAAGGGGTGCGTCTTCCCACTTTGTAATCCAGAGTGCGATTTCTTCTTGCTATCTGTCCCTCTGTAAATAAGCATTGGGTGAAGGACAAGCTAGTTACAACTGAGGATGGAATGAGATTCTAGCAGAATTGCAAAATGAACTGAGAGCCACGAAAGTGTTCCTCTGTGAACCAGCAGAGAGATCTGTGGAAGGCAAAGGAAGAGGAGCCAAGAGGCCAGATAACATTCCTGCTTCCCCTACATTGTGAAAGTGAAATTATCAGCAACGTATATCAGTAACTAACCAGAGGCTTTTTGGAGAGTAAGACTTCTGATAGATACCTCAATAGCTGAAGTTGCTCTTCAGTACTGCACATAACCTGTGGACAGATTTTCATCATTATTAATTCATTTATTCAACAGATAGATATTAAATTCAAGGCATAGTTCTAAACTATGCAGTCAATTACAAAAAAATAATGAAGGGCATTAGCTGTGCCTCATAGGACGTTAAAACTCTAGGTGCTGAATGAGACAAATAGGGTTCCCACATCAAGTGCCTGGGCTCCTGTTATAACCTGGACTGTGCTTCCAATGACTTCTCTTGTTTCTGTTTTGGTAAACCCATCATTTGGCTTAGTCCCTATCCTTGCCATGCTCGCCCACCAGTAGGTGGACCTCCTTGACTATAACTACAGACATAGATCTTCGATTGTTTCTTTTCAAATGTTTGCTTACTTTAGATCTGCAGTCAAATGTTGTTTTGACCATAAGACTCTGAGGGTGTGTGTGGTTGAAACTGTCTTGAGACTCAAAGAGCTATTGAGGAAGGGATTTGGTAGCTGAACTCTTTTGAAGTTTTTCTCTGTCTCTCACACATCTGGGGCTCAATAGTTTAATATATTGTTTAATTTCTACATCAATGATAGTTTAATTGGCATTCATGCAAGTCAGTTCTGCTGGGAGTTTATTATCCTACTCCAATAGCAAGTAAAGCATTCCTTAAATATAGTGTATGTATAAATTCTACATGGTAAGTGAAGCTGTCTTTATGAATTGCTGCTATAGAATATACTAGATTGTGTAGGTTTTAGTACAATCCAGGTAATTATCAAGCCTTTGTAATATTTTCAGGAAAGTGATCCTTTCACTTCAGTTTATGGAACTTGGAAAGTTTTCAGTTACCACCCACTTGTTAGATCATAAACTTAATTCTATGTATCTGAATTTATTTTTCTATTTATAAATTTATCTGGATGTTTTCTCAAAGGTTTCCCAGATTAAAAACCTATGGCTTTGTAAAATTAAAACAGAAGTAATAAGAATTGTGTTAAAAAACAGAATAAGGCCAAGCATGGTGGCTTATGCCTGTAATGCCAACACTTAGGGAGGCCGAGGCGGGAGGATCATTTGAGGTCAGGGGTTCAAGACCAGCCTGGGCAACATGGCAAAACCCCACCTGTATTAAAAAAATACACAAATTAGCTGGCGTGGTGGTGAATGCCTTTATTCCTAGCTACTCAAGAGGCTAAGGCAGGAGAATAGCTTGAACCCAGGAGGCTGAGGTTGCAGTGAGTCAAGATAGAGCCACTGCATTCCAGCCTGGGTGAGAGAGTGAGATCCTGTATTAAAAAAAAAAGAAAAAAAGAAAAGAAAAATAAAGAAAACTAGAATCATACAATGAGAGAGATTGTATAGCCCTTTTAATTGTCCATAATGGATACATTTCTTTTTCTGTGTAATAGTTTATCAGAATGAAAAAAAAGAGTCACTGAACACTGATAAATTTCTCTCTCTCTCTCTCTTTTTTTTCCTTTTTTTGGAGATGAAGTCTCACTCTGTTGCCCAGGCTGGAGTGCAATGGCAACATCTCTGTTCACTGCAACCTTCACATCCTGGGTTCAGGCGATTTTCCTGCCTCAGCCTCCCAAGTAGCTGGGATTCCAGGTGCATCCCGCCATGTCTGGATAAGTTTTTGTATTTTCAGTAGAGATGGGGTTTCATCATGTTGGCCAGGCTGGTCTCAAACTCCTGACCTCAAATGATCTGCCCGCCTTAGCCTCCCAAATTGCTGGTGATGATTTTCATTTAATGGTGTTCTACAAAGTGAGTTCAGGCAATGAAAGCACACATGTCATCTACAGTTTACCAGAAAGTAGTACCGGTCACCAGCATTGAAACATACTCCTAACACTGGAAAATTTCTTCAGCAGCCAGAATTAATCTCAGATTTTGAGACTGGAGCAAAGACTAATTTGGTATGTGTTCATTCAGATTAGTAAATCTCCATGGTGTTCAAACTGTATAATATCAAATCTAAAATAAGTCAAAAGAGTTGAACCATATCTCATCTCTGAGAAAAAAAATGCATTATTTTCAACAGATTTAAGACTGAATTTAAAATCCAACTCCCTATTCCAGTGTATGTTTCTCTAGAATAAGGCCAAGCCCTACAAATTCTGGATAGTGTCCTCCAAGTTGTGTTTAAGTGATAATTGATAAATCTATGGTTTAGATACATATGGAATTCCATATAACTCTAGCTCCAGCCTTTGTGAGTAAAAATTGGCAGTGATCATGGTCTTAATGGGGGCATGTGGTTAATTGGAATTTTCAGTACCAAAAGTCGTCTTCTTACTAGTTTATCAGGGTACCTTATAATAGTATCCGTAACTCATTGCCCACTTGTCTGTTTTGATTTCTTTTTTAAAAAGACAATTTTAAACTTAGAGGATTTGTACCTCAAGTCACATATGCGGCACATTTATAAAATAATCATGCCTTTGCATATTTTTCCTTTGATATCTTAGCTATATATCCAAGCCATTTATGTTTTTTAATTGCCACAAATATTGCACTGAAATAGAGCACTAGTTGCAAAAATGCCTGGTATAACATTTCTTCTTGTTCTTGAAAGTTATTTTAATACCCCATGTTTAAGATATTCCTAGACAACTATATGTAACTATAATTATTTCTGCTAGGTAGAAGCATCTTTGTGGTCAACATTTGTGAAGTGCCTTGTAAATAAAAACATGCTTGAGTAGAAATAGTATTTTGCAAATATAGCCCTAAATAGAGCTACTGATTTTACCAAGAATTAAAGACTCCAAACTCTGTCTTTGTCTTTCAAATTTGGTTTATAAGAACATCTCATTACAATGAGCAAAAAGCCTATATGATCATTAATGAGATAATTTTGACACTTCTAAATGACACAGCTAATTTGTAGTAGGTTTTTGAAGTGCAAATTACATGTTTCTGTTTAAATAATGACAGTAAAATATAGACACTATGTATTCACACTCTATATACACAACTAACTCCAACTTGTCTCTAGAAGAAAAGTTTAATTTTTCAGGTCTCATCCATAAAATGAAGTGTTAATAAGCTGTATCTTTATGCTCACTTTTAAGTAATTTCTTCTTAACCATTGTATAACACTACTACAGTTTGTATGGAGATAAAATAACTCATGGTGAGAAATCCAGTTCTTTAAAGAAATGATTTTACCTTCAATCACTTTTAGGATATCTATGGTTTTAGAGTAAGGATGAAAATTTATAAACATTTGTTAAATTATGCAACTGTTTTTGAAGATGTTTCAAAATTACACTTTCCTTATTTTACAACTAGTTTTCATATATTCACAAATGAGACACATGAGAATTATTAATGCAAAAGCATAGCATATCAACAAAGTTTATAATGTAAATAGTTTAGTTAGGAAAGAATGTAATGAGTGAATTATCAAAGCTATTTTATTGGTTCCTAGATTTACCATAGAAGAAAATAAAGCAGCCTTATAAAAATTTCTCAGCACTGAGTCCATTTAAGGTCTATTTTGTATGCTGTAAGTTCTACAAAATGTTATTGCTGGTAAAAATAGGGTACATATCTAAAATTGTCTTTTTAAAGGTTCTTTCTTATTCTTCTTCCCTTCCTATGTGTGCACAGAATAATGTCATCGTCTTGATTGGAACACTGTCTCTCTTTCTCAGAGGGTGTACATTTGTAGAAGGGAGAAAATATTTGTTAATTTTGCTTCCTATAAAATAAGGTCTCAATGGTTGAAGGTCAGTTAACAAACTTTTTTTTTGGTCTTCATACTATTATCTTGGAATTACCAACTGGCTTCTATTTAGATTTTGAATAATGAAAGAAAAGAACTAGCATTTGTTAGAACTTACTGTGTTCCAGAAACTTTATTGATGCCATTTCTTCTCATTATCACATTCATTCTTTCAATTAGTATTATTTTTTTCCATCTTAATAAGGTGGGACCAGAGGTTTTGTAATATCCACTAACCCACTGTGGATTTCATGGCTTGCAAGAGGAAGAAAGCGTGGTGGAACTCAGGTTTCTCGGATTCCAAATTCACATCCTTTCATGTCTCCATGAAAAATAGAAAAGATAAATTGGGCTCTATTTTAACAAGAAAAACACAATTTTTCGTCAGTTAAATGAATAATTCTTTTTTATTTTATTTTATTTTTATTATTATACTTTAAGTTTTAGGGTACATGTGCACATTGTGCAGATTAGTTACATATGTATACATGTGCCACGCTGGTGCGCTGCACCCAGATACCTAAATGAATAATTCTTAAACCTCAAAAATAAAACGTAGCAAAACCTCAATTCAAGAGTAGACATAAAGGTTGTGACATGGGTAGCAGGGACATATGTCTAATGACATACATATTCTATGCATATCTGACCAAAAATCTCCCTCATGATTTTCAAATCAGATGCATAACTACATTTAATGAATTTCACAAATCATTAATATCAGGCTCTGAAAACAGGATCATTAAAAATGATTAAGATTTTCAACAACAAAGATCTTATCTAAATAGTAAGGAAATTATATTAGATGGCTCCATTCCCTGGGCAGTCTAATTAACAATTCAACTTGTTCAAAGCTATTAAATATGACAACTTAAAAAATTATGAAAGTTTTTCTAACTTTGTGCTTAAGATAGTTGGCCATTCTTCCTCTTGGGAAAAAGAAGTGCAGATTTTCTGTCGAAGCATTTTGCTATTGCTTTTCAATTTCCTTTTATGGAAAATAGATAAAATAGCAATTTTTTAATTATAAATTTAAAGTCAAAATGGAGATAATTAAGTATCTCCATTAATTAAGTAAATATTATTTTTTTAAAAAATAGCATTTACTAAATTCTAATCAATCAATTGATTGACTATTTTTATCCCTGGCTCAATGTAACTCTCTTTGACATATTCTTGTCTTAATTCTAGTTTATGTCAACAATGTGTAATCATAGATGACTCTTTGCCATTTTCATCTCTCAGTTCTATGAACACCTTTGATCTAACGATAATGTTTTCCAAAAGAATTATTTCTACTCAAACTTCTGAGATCAAATTTGTAGATTTAGTCTCACCCCAATCAATTCTTCAACTCTCAGGACACCAAATGGTGTCCTACAATTCAATTCAATCCTGAGACTATCTATCTGGAGATAACATCAGATCCCAAAAGTTCAGGGTTCAGGCCCACAAGACTGACCCCCACCATTAGAGAGGAGTTGTCGGCCTCCCATACTCCTGACCAACTGTCTATAAATTAGGACTTCCATGGATTCCTTCCCCAGGTTCTATAATTTGCTAAGATGGCGCACAGAACCCAAGAAAGCACTTTGCTTACAGTTACTGTCTGATACAAATCAGGAACTGTCAAATAGAAGAGACACATAGGGCCAGGTATGGTGAAAAGGGGCACAAAGCTGCCATATGACCTCTAAGTATATCACTGTATCACGCTCCCAGCACCTCAGAGGTGATGGAGGAGAGAGCTGACAGTTTCAACCATCTAGTTATGCCTTCATGTTTCTGATGTCCAGCACCCACCCTGAAGCTATACGGGTCTCCAGCCACCACTCATGTCATGTCAATAGCATAAACTCAGGTATGGCTAAGAGGGACTTATGACTAGTAAAGGATGGTCCTCTCATCTCTATCAGGAAATTACAAGTTTTAGGAGCTCTGTACTGTGAACTGGGGAGGAAGACCAAATAGGACATAGCCTAGACCAGTTGTGCTAACTACTGTGTGCCTCAAAATTGCCTACAGTTGTGTTACAATAAGAGATTGCTGAGACCTGCTATTGGAATTTCAGATTTGGTAGATCTGGGGGTGTAACCTGAGAATATGCAGTTCTAGTAAGTTCCCAGGTGATGCTGATGCTGCTAGCACAGGGACCACACTTCCAGACGGACTGAGTGAAGCATCGTCGTTACTTATAATAGGAACTTCTCTGTAGTCACAATTTCATTCATCCCATTCTCTGAGCTCCTCCTTTAATCATTCCCTTTCATACGCTGACATAAAATTTTTCAATCTCTCTGAGACCTCCAAACTATTATTTTATCATATTCACAATGACCCTTACCTACTTGATGTACTCTATTTCCTGTTCTCCTGCCTAAATTCCATGGCCAACCATTCCCGGGAAACTTCAACTTCCTTGTTTCTCTTTCACTTTGCTGAATCTAACCAGGAAAATAACCCTGGTTAGATCCAAATTTCCACCAAATCCCCACATATATTTGAGCAACTAGCTATATGGATCAAATTGAAAAATATCCCACTTGAAAATGAGAATCTCAGTGCTGCCTATCAATCAATCATACTACATATGTTCCAATCTATTCACTCTCTAATTTACCTAGTTTTGTACCTTATCCTGTCTCTAATCCCTAACACTTCCCCAGAAATCCTCAATGTCTTTTTGGTTGTGCTTCCCTGAGAACATTGAATCATCCAAAGACAACTTCCACAGACTCCTGAAACCATTTAAACTCACTTTCCCATGTCTACACCCACATACTCTCCATTTTCACCTATTATTATCTGTGAAATAACTGGCCCCTATCTGTATATTGTCTGATGATGATTTCTATATTACATGTGAAGAAAATGAGAATAGGGTTAGAGCTACTTTCTCATTATAGCATAGCTTAGAATCAAATCCACGCAGTCCACCACTGAAACTGGGGTTCCAAGTCAGTGTATTTGGAGAAGGAGAGCTAGTAGAAAAATAAGGATGAAAAGATCCAGGATGAAGATTCTGATGGAAGAAAAGGACATTTTTACTATTATGAATTCCTTGAAGTAGACCTTAAGCATTCTCATCTGGACAAATATCCATTCATCCACTCCAGTGAGCTGATTAAGTTTTAGGATTTTAAGGGTCAGTGAACACTTATTCCTCATTCAGCAGTTAAAGAAGGATTAATATGAATATTATCTTGGAGAAGTTTAATTTAAAACATATTTGATTGATTTTTGGCAATTGTCTTCTATCAGATCTTTACCAATCCATATGAGTTGGTAGGAAGGGAGAAAACACAAAATTTAATCAGATGCCTGAAGTTAGGGAACATTTTATAACCAACTCAGGGGGAAAAATGCTCAAAAGGGGAAAGATGAGGACAGAAAATACATTTCAAAGATTTTAACTTTTTGACAAAATGTCAATTCTATGCAAGAAAAACTGATTGTGTGAATATAACTTTGTCATTTACATCTGCCAATGTGTTCAGAAATATACAACCTATATTTTTTTAATAGTAGTTTGTTAACACAAAATTTATTCATCAAAATATCTAAAACATTCTAAAAATACTAAAAATTTTCAATTTAAAGATTAAGCTAAACAGCTCTGTATATATAAGTAAGCTCAAACAAACGTGCATGCTCCCCAACAATGACACTGCTACAGATATTGACTGGTGGTTTTGGTTTCATTTCATTTTATAATGGCAAATCTGGTTAAGACCCAGATTCTGGGCTGGGCGCAGTGGCTCACGTCTGTGATCCCAGCGCTTTGGGAGGCTGAGGCAGGCAAATCACAAGGTCAACAGATCGGGACCATCCTGGCCAACATGGTGAAACCCCATCTCTACTAAAAAAAATACAAAAATTAGCTGGGCATGGTGGCACGTGCCTGTAGTCCCAGTTACTTGGGAGGCTGAGGCAGGAGAATCACTTGGACCTGGGAGGCAGAGGTTGCATGAGCCGAGACTGTGCCACTGTACTCCAGCCTGGTAACAGAGAGATACTCCATCTCAAAACAAAACAAAACCCCAGATTCTGAACTGACTCTCACAATAAGGATCTCAATTGCTTCAAAGAGAATAAAATACCTAGAAATCCAACTTACAAGGGATGTGAAGGACCACTTCAAGGAGAACTACAAACCACTGCTCAATGAAATAAGATACAAACAAATGTAAGAACCTTCCATGCTCATGGGTAGGAAGAATCAATATTGTGAAAATGGCCATACTGCCCAAGGTAATTTATAGATTCAATGCCATCCCCATCAAGCTACCAATGACTTTCTTCACAGAATTGGAAAAAACTACTTTAAACTTCATACGGAACCAAAAAAGAGCCTGGATTGCCAAGTCAATCCTAAGCCAAGAGAACAAAGCTGGAGGTACCACGCTGCCTGACTTCAAACTATACTACAAGGTTACAGTGACCAAAACAGCATGGTACTGGTACCAAAAGAGAGATAGAGGCCAATGGAACAGAACATAGCCCTCAGAAATAATGCCACATGTCTACAGCTATCTGATCGTTGACAAACCTGACAGAAACAAGAACTAGGGAAAGGATTCCCTATTTAATAAATGGTGCTGGGAAAACTAGCTAGCCATATGGTTCCCTTCCTTACACCTTACACCTTATACAAAAATTAATTCAAGATGGATTAAAGATTTACATGTTAGACCTAAAACCATAAAAACCCTGGAACAAAACTAGGCAATACCATTCAGGACATAGGCATGGGCAGGGACTTCATGTCTAAAACACCAAAAGCAATGGCAACAAAAGCCAAAATTGACAAATGGGATCTAATTAAACTAAAGAGCTTCTGCACAGCAAAAGAAACCACCATCAGAGTGAACAGGCAGCCTACAGAATGGGAGAAAAGTTTTGCAATCTACTCACCTGACAAAGGGCAAATATCCAGCATCTACAATGAACTCCAACAAATTTACAAGAAAAAAGCAACCCCATCAAAAAGTGGGAGAAGGATATGAACAGACACTTCTCAAAAGAAGACATTTATGCAGCCAAAAAACACATGAAAAAATGCTCACCATCACTGCCTATCAGAGAAATGCAAATCAAAACGACAATGAGATACCATCTCCCACCAGTTAGAATGGCAGTCATTAAAATGTCAGGAGACAACAGGTACTGGAGAGGATGTGGAGAAATAGGAACACTTTTACACTGTTGATGGGACTGTAAACTAGTTCAAACATCGTGAAAGTCGGTGTGGGGATTCCTCAGGGATCTAGAACTAGAAATACCATTTGACCCAGCCATCCCATTACTGGGTATATACCCAAAGGATTATAAATCATGCTGCTCTAAAAACACATGCACACGTATGTTTATTGTGACACTATTCACAATAGCAAAGACTTGGAGCCAACCCAAATGTCCAACAATGATAGACTGGATTAAGAAAATGTGGCACATATACACCATGGAATCCTATGCAGCCATAAAAAATGATGAGTTCATGTCCTTTGTAGGGACATGGATGAAGCTGGAAACCATCATTCTCAGCAAACTATCACAAGGACAAAAACCAAACACCACATGTTCTCACTCATAGGTGGGAATTGAACAATGAGAACACATGGACACAGGAAGGGTAACATCACACAATGGGGACTGTTGTGGGGTGGGGGGAGGGGGGAGGAATTGCATTAGAAGATATACCTAATGTTAAATGATGAGTTAATGGGTGCAGCACAACAACATGGCACATGTATACATATGTAACAAACCTGCACGTTCTGCACATGTACCCTAAAACTTAATGTATAATAATGATAATTAAAAAAGGAAATGAAAACATATGTCCACACACACACAAAAAAAAGAAAAAAACTAAGGATCTCAAAGAGGTCAATATGTATATAATCTATTCTTAAAGAAAAATTTTCTCCAATTGTTTATTGAAATATCACACAGGCTCTGACTTTGTTTATATCCTTAAAAAGTATGTAGATTTATTTGTAGCTTTTGTAAAGTGAAAGCTCAGAATGTCTACTCTGTTCTGGTACCACTTTAGTTTAATTGTTGGAAAATATTTAATAAAAATGAATTACTCAACAAATGGAAAATTTGAATTTGCATACTAAATTTTTACTTCATATTATCAACTCTTGAAAAATAAGTGTGTATATTAGAAATGACACTCATTTGACTATACCATAATATATTTCAGACTTTTTGTCTTCAGCTACAGAATTTCTCCATCCTTTGAATTATGTTAGCGGGCTTTAGTTGGCCAGTATTGGTGATTCGCCTCCACTAATTCACAACTCTATTATTTTACCCCTGGGGATGCATTTCCATAGTTCTGCCTTGTTATGAGTGTCATTTTTTTCTTCTGTTTTGTTGACTGCCATTCAAATAGTTTTGGCTTTATCAGAGATTTTCACTTTATTGTTTGTCACCCCCTCATTTTTTTAGCTTCTCATAATTTACTGTATTATATCTGCCTGGGCTTTTGGTTCCTTTACAGATGTGTTTCACTTTATTTTTAGCTTATGATACTTCTAAAGTCTGTACCCTTTTAATTTTCACTTGCTTCATCGTCACATTCTTGTGTGTTGTTTTCATTTCAAAATACCAGAAAGTAGGATGTCTCAGCATCTTGGTGAGTGGAATAGTTTATTTATAATCCAAAAAAACTCCATACTTTTTGTGAGCTATCTGCTTCTAAGTAAAAATTTTATATATAAATTCTTGAAAAAAAATCTTAAACTTCTAAGGGATTGAATGAGATTTTAAAAAACATTCTATACAACAATGGGTGCAAAATTTGTATTCCTCTACTCAAGAGAAATAATGAACATTTGTTATTAGTTTACTAACATCTAAATGTTAATGTATTCAATTATATATTATTAAAACACGATTAAGCTTAATAGGTGGAAAAGTATAAAACAAACAAGTGTATAATTTACCTTTATTAATATGAAACATCTTTTTCTCTCCTGAAAATAAAGATTAACCAGTGGTGTGCTGGGGCGGGAGGGGGTGTGTTGGAGGAAGAAAAGGTATGATTTGCCAATTTCAGCACAAAACTGAAAATGCTTATTAACCTTTACTAGCTCCAGATATCTTTTAACATATATTGAAATTTATGACCCTTAAAAAGAAAACATATATAGAGATTTTGACAAAACTTTGCAGTTCCACTCATGGATCCTTGTATAAGAATCCCTTTTATATGTGTGTTTGCAATTTAAAGAGTTCAGACTTTATGATTCACAGGTGACAATTAATGATTTAAAATCAACACTTAGGCTTTTATAATTTGGGAGTCAGGTGTTTAACTGCTGTAGTATAACTGCTTCTTCTCAGAGAAACTTAGGAACTAAGACCAGGGAAATGTCCCTTGGTGTGCAACACACCTCTTCTTTCTGAACATGTCGTATAAGAAGCTAACTTTGTCTCAAAGTTTATATGACTTTTGCATTTGCAGTTACTAGCTATTTTCTTTTGGAACTGTAGGACTTGGAGAACTTTCCCTCTACCCTCTGAAGGTATGATAACTGAGTCTATGAAATAAATGGATAACAGGCATGTCAAAAGAAGAAAAGGTATACACATTTATTACACGCATGGGGGAATCACAGGAAAGAAAAGTGGAATCAAAAACAAAACAAAACAAAACAAACAAAACACCACCAAGAAAAAACCCCAGTGAGATTTAGGAGCATATAGGGAAGGCAGGAGGAAGAATGTAGGAAACTTAGGGGAGAGCAAATGACTTTTGGGAAAGATGACCAGACCCTTAGGAGAATAGATGATAGTTTGTGGCAGTCTGTCTTGGTGTGGTATGGACCCTTAGTCTTGTCTCCTGTGATATAAGGAGTCAATTTTCCCTGGCTGATGAAACTCCTAGGAAGGAGATGAATGTCTTTGTGCTCACAAGACAGTATCTTGAAGCTTTGTTTTCCAGTTCAGTTCTAAATCTTCAGTGTATAAAAATCTCCTCATCATGCTTTGGATGTTATGGTAGATAAATGGTATCTTTACAAAGATACATTCATTCTGGTATTGAAAGTTCCTTTTGGAGGATCTCTCTTGAGGAACGTAAAGGGAGTGCAGAGAAAGCATGTCCCGCATTTGTTGTTTTTCAAATATTTTCAGTTCAATGTAATCAGTACACCAAAGTAATCCATTCAGGACTGGCATTTCCTGAACACCTTCAGAACTCTTTTTGATCCCATGTTATTTCTATGAGATCACGTGATTTAAGACCAACTTTTACTTGCCACTTACACATATATTGAAAAGGCAAACTTTCCTTTCATAGTTTGCTAATTTTGGCAAAGTACTTTAACAAAAGTTAAATTAAATGAGTAAGTGAAATTTTCTGTTCTATTGTTTTGAAAACAATTCTAGAAGCTGTCCTTGTAAGAACAGCAAAAAGAGAAAAAGATAATTCTCAACTGCTGCTTCAACCATTCTTTGCTTAACAATGAATCTAATTAAAAGGCAAAACTCTCTATTTCAGGTTTATATGTGTCAATTGCTTGATTAGAAAGTAAATTATTTACCACATATAATCTGGTGTCAAAAAACTTATAATAAAATTACTTTGATTTTATTGCATATAAGTTTGTGAATTTAAATCTCAACTGACAGTGATGAATTTATTTGCTTTGTGCTGACAAGGCAGTATCTTGAAGTTTTGTTTTCCAACTCAGTTCTAAATCTACAGTGTATCAAAATCTCCTCGTTATGCTTTGGGTGTTATGGTACATAAATGGTATCTTCACAAAGATACATTCATTCTGGTACTGAAAGTGCCTACTTAAAATTCTGCATGAACAGTTTTATTGAAAAAATATGTAGACAAGCCATTAATTATACACAGTGATTTGGAACAAATTCTTACAAGAAGCATAGCGTGTCTTCCATTAACTGTATACAATTTATAAAAAGTTACTGAAAGTCTTCCTGAAGTTAAACAATAAATCTTTTAAATTTAACCACTGTGCTCTCTCAAAGGTAATTTTTTCTTTATGACACTCACTTAGGGGATACAGTCAGATCTCAGCCTACTTTAAACAATTAGGCAGTATTTTTAGTGCACTTTTCTGTTTGTTAAAAAGCTAGTTGTCAAGAATAAGTTGCTCATATATCTTCCTCAATTACTTTTTATTTTGTTTTGTAATTATTATTCTATTTTGGTTTTCCTTTAGAATTGTGAAATATCTTGAATCAGAAATTGCAGAGAATATATAAATGAGTAAGAATGCACTCTGCAATCAAACTAGATCTCGAAAGTGTTTTGTTGTAGTTTATACCTTGAATTCGAAGGCCATTCTATACAAGGCACTTGAAAAATTTTCAAGCTCATATATTTCATAATAGTACAGAATTTATTGTTCTTTTATTTGCAAGGAGATAGACCAGATAAAATGTCACTTTATTTTTTACAATGTTGACTTTGATATTCTAAACTTGTCAGTTTATACAGATTAATGAAGACTCCATACATGTAAAATTCACTATATATTTTTTTCTGGTATGAGAGTCTAAACAAATAGTAACAACATACCCAAACAGGTAAAGTAAAAATATACAATAGCTTGACAAAAAAAAAGAAGAAAAAATAAACCCCTATACATTCCTTAACATTTAAATCTTTGAGGACCAAATTGGATTCAAAAGAAACATTTCTGGTGGGCAGGGAAAGGGCTAAAAATCTAAAGTATATAATAAGTAAATTCCTCATTGGTATAAAATATATGACCAGCATGACATTTCAATACATGTTCAAGTTTTCTGAAAAAAGTTCTAGGATAATAGGATTTCAACTTTTGATTCTACAGATATCATTCTTGTGATTGGTATGGGAGAATCATCCTCTTCATGTATTAGTGGATTCAAATGAAAAAAAATCAGGCAGCTAGTTCCTTTCCAAGAAGCCTTAGAGATTGTTGTACATAAAAATAGCCATATTTCTGATTCAAATTTTAATTAGAGAATTCTCTTTATTCCCTCTTCGGCATAAAATTATGCACTGGCACTCTGCTCTGCAGACAAGTAAAACTTCTTATCTGTCATAATTTGAGATACCCAAGACTCAGAAGATATTATCTCCTAGCTGAAAGTCCCCAAAAACTTCTCAAGACAAAAAAAAACAAAAAGTTAAATACACAGAGATAGAGTATAAAACAGTGGTTACCAGGGGCTGGGGGTGAGAAGAGAAAATGGAGAGAGAGAATTCAAAGGATGCAAAGTTGCAGATATGTAGAATTAACAAGTTGAGGGATCTAATGTACAACATGAGGACTGTAGGTATTAATATTTATTGTATATGGCATTTAACTAAAAGGGTAGTTTGTAGGTACTCTTTCCTCACACACATATCCAAAAGAAAGGTAACTGAGATTTTCAAAGGGAATGCTTCCAGGTTTTGCCCATTCAGTATGATATTGGCTGTGGGTTTGACATAAATAGCTCTTATTATTTTGAGATACATCCCATCAATATCTAATTTATTGAGAGTTTTTAGCACGAAGGTTGTTGAATTTTGTCAAAGGGCTTTTCTGCATCTATTGAGATAATCATGTAGTTTTTGACGTTGGTTCTGTTTGTATGATGGATTATGTGTATTGATTTGTGTATGTTGAACCAGCCTTGCATCCCAGGGATGCAGCCCATTTGATCATGGTGGATAAGCTTTTTGATTTGCTGCTGGATTCGGTTTGGTAGTATTTTATTGAGGATTTCGCATTCCAATCCACTCCACTCCACTCCATTCTATTCCATTCCATTCCATTCCATTCCATTCCATTCCATTCCATTCCATTCCATCTCATTCCATTCCATTCCATTCCATTCCATCTCATTCCATTCCATTCCCTTCCACTCAACTCCACTACATTCCACTCTACTCCAGTCCACTACACTCCATTCTATTCCATTCCATTTCATTCCAATCCATTCCATTCCATTCTTTTATTTCGTCAGGAACTCACTCCGTCACCCAGGCTGGAGTGCAGTGGCACAATGTCAGCCCACATTTCATTTCAACGTGCCATTCGATTCCATTCCATTCCATTCCATTCCATTCCACACCACTCCACGAAACTCCACTCTACTCCACTCCACTGCATTCCTTTCCATTACATCCCATTCCATTCCTCTTCATTCCACTATACTCCACTACACTCCACTCTACTCCACCCCACTCCACCCCACTCCATTCCATTCCACTCTAATCTGTTCCATTCCTTTCTTTCGATAGGATCTCACCTGTCAACCAGGATGGAGTGCAGTGGCACAATCTCAGCTCACATTTCATTTAACCATTCTATTCCATTCTATTCCATTCCATTCAACTACACTCCTCTCCACTCCACTCCACTCCATTCCATTTGAATCCAATCCACTCAACTCCTTTCCATCCCATCCCATTCCATTCCACTCCACTCCATTCCACTTCACTCCATTCCATTCCACTCCATCCCATCCCATTCCATTCCACTCCATTTCACTCCACTCCAATCCACTGCATTCTACGCCGTTCCATTCCACACCATTCCATTCTATTCCTTTCTGTCGACAAGATCTCACTCTGTCACCCAGGATGGATTGCAGTGTCATAATCTCAGCTATCATTTGATTTCATGATTCCTTTCCATTCCATTCCATTCCATTCCATTCCATTCCATTCCATTCCATCCCTTCCCATTCCACTCCATTCCACTCCACTCCTCTCCATTACATTCCATTCCATTCCACTCCACTCCAATCCACTACATTCCACTCCACTCCACTCCATTCCATCCCATTGAATTC